>NC_000001.11:58947774-59099289 GCF_000001405.40 Homo sapiens
ATAGTTTTAGAATAGTTTTCTCTAGCTCTGTGAAAAACGGTCTTGGTAGTTTGATAGGAATAATGTTGAATCTGTAGATTGCTTTGGGCAGTATGGCCATGTTAACCATATAGATTCTTCAATCCATGAGCATGGAAGATTTTTTCATTTGTGTCATCTATGATTTTTTCAGCAGTGTTTTATAGTTCTCCTTGTAGAGATCTTTCACTTCCTCAGTTAGATGTATTCCTAGATGTGTGTGTGTGTGTGGCTATTGTAAGTGGGATTGTATTCTTAATTTGGCTCTCAGCTCAAACATTATTGGTGTATAGAAATGCTAGTAATTTTTGTACATTGATTTTGTATCCTGAAACTTTACCAAAGTCATTTATCACTTCCAGGAGCCTTTTGGTAGAGTCTCTTTAGGGTTTTCTAGGTATAGAATCAAATCATCAGTGAAGAGAGATAGTTTGACTTATTATTTTCCTATTTGGATGCCTTTTATTTCTATCTCTTGCCTGATTGCTCTGGCTAGGACTTCCAGGAAATTGATTTCTTTTTTAACTTATTAAAAGCAAAATGCCTAAAGACGGCCACATGGAGGTGTTGAGCAGATAGGGGAGATGCTGGACATTTGGATGTCCACAGTGTACAGATGGTATTTAAAGCCAGGATCCTGGATGAGATCACAGGAGCATGAAGGTAGATACGGAAGAGAAGAGGCAGGGACCAAGCTCCAGGGCCTCCAGCATAAGTGTTTGGGAAGATGAGGAGGAACATTCCAAGGAGACAAAGGAAAAGCCAACGAGATAGGAGGGGAACTAAGAAACTGTTCTTGAAAGCCAAATGCAAAAAGAGTGTCATGGAGGAGGAAGTGAACAGTTATTTCAAATGCTGCTGCCTCATTTGTTAAGATCCAGACTGAGACTTGACCACTGGATTTATGGTGAGTTGTCACTGTTCACTTTAACTAGAGCAGTTTGGAATAGGGTGGGGGCAAGAGCCTGACCAGGGTAAATCCAATAGCAGAGGGGAGAAGAGAATTTGAAGGTATGGCCTATATTCAACTCTTTTGAGGAGTTTTGCTATACAAGAGCAAAGAGAGTTGGAGGAGGATGTGGGCTCAAAAGAAGAGTGTGCATGTGTGTGTGTGTGTGTGTGTATTTTTGTGTGTATAGGAGAAATAACAGTATTTTTTTTTGTGCTACTAAGAATTATGAAGTCTTAGAGGCAAACATTGATGATACCAGAGAGAAAGGAGAGAATTTCTGGAGTAATGGCCCTGGGAAGATGAGCAAGCATGGGACCTGGCACACAGTAGGGAAGTAGGTATTTGCTGGGACCACAGACATGCATTCATAATAGAGATCACAATGGAGGGGCCTAAGAGATAAGGAGGATATTGTCAGTGCCCAGCACAGAGTCATAGAAACCCACACTTCCACAGCACAATGTGCCAGATACTGCCCTTAGCCATTTACATATATTAACTCCAAATTCTCAGAACAACCGTGTGAAGTAGACACTGTTACTGTGTCCATTTTACATAGAGAGCACTGAGGCATAGTGATATCAAGAATTTTGCCCAAATTTTCACACAAGCAGTAAATAGCATAGCCAACCACCGCTCACATGGATTGGTATGACCAGAGAAAAGACTGGTGAGTGAGTGGGTGGAAGAGGAGCTACGTGGTTTTGGGGAGCGCAGGGCTGGTGTGCACTAACAGATGCCTCCTTCTGGGACAACTGTGCATTTGCAAAGCACTTTTTTAGTCACTTCTTTTTGAGTTAGGAGCTAGGGTAGGCAGAGGATGGGGCTGTGCCGAGTTCTCAGCTTGGGCCTTGATGAAGTCTGGAGGGGTTCCTTCCCCCGCTGTCATAAATCTTCCACTGGTTTCCCCAAGGGATTTTCAAGAGAGTTCCTTTCTCTTTAGAGACATCCCTGGGATTCTGAGCACCTGGAAGGTCACAGTCCCCAGTATTCCTGGGTAAAGGAAGGGAGGGAGAAATAAATTATGTCATTGACCTGGTTCTGACACTAGCTGGCTGAGAGACCTTGGCCAAGACATTTCCCTCTTCTGAGCCTGAGCTCTAAAATGCAAGAGATGCTAGAATGATATCTCACTTTATAGACTCACATGTTCTGTCAGTATACACTTAGTGAGTGCCACTGTATACCAGGCATAGTACAGGGCACTAGAGATATGACAATGAGCACAAAGGACATAGTCCCTGACTTTGTGTAGACTGCAGTCTATGCGAGGGGGATGGGAGGAAAAACTGATGACCATACAATTATTAACCATGATACAAGCTTTGAAGGAACATTCTAGGGTGCTGGAGAGTATCATTTCCTGAACACTTTTGGAATTTTTGTGAAATATGACTATGACTAAGGTTTGACTCCAAAACAAACTGTCTTGGTTGATTGTTCATTCATTCATTTATTTACTTAAAAAAATTTTAATGAACCCCTTCATATTGTCTACCGTTTAAAGCAATAGCTTTGCATTTTGTGTTCCCCAAGGAAAGTATAAATCAAAGCTGACAGAAATATAACATGAAATGGGGCTGGGAGCCAGTTTATTTATTCAACCAAGCTCAAGAGATGTTTGATACACCCTACTATGTGCCAGATACTATAGACACAGGTGTGTAAGGGCAAGAACACAGTGGTCTCTTTCCTCAGTAATTTCTCTGGAGTCTCATAGGGTTGAAGTGGTGGGGAGGTGCGCTGGACCAAGGTGACACTAAGGTTTGAATATGGGCCTCACCATACAAAAGTAGGAGACCTAAGGAGGGTTTTGGAATATTCTGTAGGCTCAGTTTCCTCATCTGTGATAGAACACATAGGAACATTTCTTTTTTTTTTTTTTTGATACAGAGTCTCACTCTGTCACCCAGGCTGAAGTACAGTGGCGTGATCTCGGCTCACTGCAACCTCCACCTCTCAGGTCAAGCAATTCTACTGCCCCAGCTTCCTGAGTAGCTGGGACCACAGGCAACCACCACCACACCTGCTAATTTTTTGTGTGTTTTTAGTAGAGACAGGGTTTTGCCATGTCGGCCAGGCTGCTTTTGAACTCCTGACCTCAGGTGATTCCCCCACCTAGGCCTCCCAAAGTGCTGGGATTACAGGCGCGAGCCACCATGCCTGGCCTAAAACATGAGAACATTTCTGAGTGCCATTCTACACACTGTGCTAAGCACTGCACATGCATTACCTCCTTTGATCCATGTAACAATCACGTGAGGTAGGTTCTTTCTTCTCTCCATTTAATTGACGCAGAAACCGAAGCTCAGAAATGACAAGTGCCACTGGCATTGCAATCCTGCAGAGGGCTCTCCTTCATTCTCCAAACTCCGAGGATAGTCACCTGACAGGAACCTTAGAACCATTGGACAGGGTGGTCTCTAAACCCTTCTGGCTGCTCATCTCTCTCAGTAAATATATGAAACATGTCCTCATCAATCATATTTATTTAGAAACATATATGTGTTCTGCCAATAATTTGTATAGCAGGCCGGGTACGGCGGCTCATGCCTGTAATCCCAGCACTTTGGGAAGCAGAGGTGGGTGAATCGCTGGAGTCCAGGAGTTCAAGACCAGCCTGGGCAATATAGCAAAACCCTGTCTCTAAAAAAATTAACCAGGCGTGGTGGTGCATGACTGTAGGTTCATATGCTGTGAAGGCTGATGTGGGAGAATCACTTGAGCCCTGGGAGGTTGAGGCTGCAGTCAGCTGAGATTGTGCCACTGCATTCCAGTCTGGGTGACAAAGCTAGACCCTGCCTCAAAAAACAAAATTTATATAGCAAATACTATATTTTTGTTATACTTTGTTTTAATACTAAAGGTTAATTTCTTATCTTGGATAAAATGAAATATACATAGATAAGATTAAGAATACAAATATAAATAAAATTACTACCTATCCCCTGATGTGTCATGGAGCACTTGGAGATCACTCACCCAGACTATTTTACAGAGGAGGACACAGAAGCCCAGAGAGTCCAAGCAACTTGTCCAAGTTGCTCATTTGGGATAGGCCAGTGGGGAGGTTTGTCCTCCAGACAATGTAGGGCAATGTCTAGAGACATTTATGTATGGGAAGGTGAGAGTGCTGCTGGCATCTACTGAGTAGAGGCCAGGGATGCTGCTAAACATCTTATAATATACAGGACGGGTGATATGGTTTGGCTGTGTCCCCACCCAAATCTCAACTTGAATTGTATCTCCCAGAATTCCCACATGTTGTGGGAGGGACCTAGAGGGAGGTAATCGAATCATGGGGGCTGGTCTTTCCCATGCTAGTCCCATGCTATTCTCATGATAGCACTCCATTTTAAAAGGGGAATAGAGAATAAAAGTTCAGAAAATTTGCAGCCTGATGAGGCAGTAGAAAGGAAAACTCCATTTTTTGAGGAGGAATTCCAGCCAGCTGCAGAAATTTGCGTAAGTGACAAGGAGCCTAATGTTAAGTCTCATGAGATCTGATGGGTTTATCCAGGGTTTCTGCTTTTGCTTCTTCCTCATTTTCTCTTGCTGCCGCCATATAAGAAGTGCCTTTTGTCTCCTGCCATGATTCTGAGGCTTCCCGAGCCATGTGGAAGTGTAAGTCCACTTAAACCTCTTTTTCCTTCCCAGTCTTGGGTATGTCTTTATCAGCAGCATGAAAATAGACTAATACAGTCAATTGGTACCAGTAGAGTAGGGCAGTGCTGAAAAAGTAGCTGAAAATGTGGAAGCAACTTTGGAATTGGGTAAAAGGCAGAGACTGGAACCGTTTGGAGGGCTCAGAAGAAGACAGGAAAATGTGGGAAAGTTTGGAACCTCCTAGAGACTTGTTGAATGGTTTTGACAAAAATACTGATAGTGATATGAACAATAAGGTCCAAGCTGAGATGGTCTCAGATGGAGATGAGGAACTTGTTGGGAACTGGAGTAAAGGTGACTCGTGTTATGTTTTCACAAAGAGACTGGCAACATTTTGTTCCTGTGCTAGAGACTTGTGGAACTTTGAAGTTGAGAGAGATGATTTAGAATATGTGGCAGAAGAAATTCTTAAGTAGCAAAGCATTCAAAAGTTGACTTGGGTGCTGTTAAAAGCATTCCATTTTAAAAGGGGAACAGAGAATAAAAGTTCAGAAAATTTGCAGCCTGATGATGCAGTAGAAAGGAAAAACCCATTTTTTGAGGAGAAATTCAAGCTGGCTGCAGAAATTTGCATAAGTAACAAGAAGCCTAATGTTAATCCCCAAGACCACCGGGAAAATGTCTCCAGGCCATGTCAGAGACCTTCATTGCAGCCTCTCCCATCACAGGCCTGGAAGCCCAGGAGCAAAATATGGTTTCATGGGCCAGGCCCAGGATCCCCGTGCTTTTTGCAGCCTAGGGACTTGGTGCCCTGTGTTCCAGCCACTCCAGCCATAGCGGAAAGGGGCCAACATAGAGCTTGGGCTGTGGCTTCAGAGGGTGGAAGCCTCAAGGCTTGGCAGCTTCCACATGGTGTTGAGCCTGCAGGTGCACAGAAGTCAAGAATTGAGGTTTAGGAACTCCGCCTAGATTTCAGAAGATGTATGGAAATGCCTGGATTCCTAGGCAAAAGTTTGCTGCAGGGGCAGGGTACTCATGGAGAACCTCTGCTAGGGCAGTACAGAAGGGAAAAGTGGGGTTGAAGCCCCCACACTGAGTCTCCACTGGGGTACTGCCTAGTGGAGCTATGAGAAGAGGCCCACCATCTTCCAGACCCCAGAATGGTAAATCCACTGACACCTTGCACCATGTGCATGGAAGAGACACTCAACGTCAACCTGTGAAAGCACCCAGGAGGGAGGCTGTACCCTGCAAAGCCATAGGGGTGGAGCTGCCCAAGACCATAGAAACCCACCTCTTGCATCAGCATGACCTGGATATGAGACCTGGAGTCAAAGGAGATCATTCTGGAGCTTTAAAATGTGACTTCCCCACTGGATTTTGGACTTGCATGGGCCCTACAACCCCTTTGTTTTGGTCAATTTCCCCTATTTGGAATGGCTGTATTTACCCAACACCTGTACCCCCATTGTATCTAGGAAGTAACTAGCTTACTTTTGATTTTACAGGCTCATCAGTGGAAGTGACTTACCCTGTCTCAGATGAGGCTTTGTACTGTGGACTTTCGAGGTAATGTTGAAATGTGTTAAGACTTTGGGGGACTGTTGGGAAGGCATGACTGGTTTTGAAATGTGAGGATATGAGATTTGGAGGGGCCAGGGGCAGAATGATGTGATTTGGTTGTGTCCCCACTCAAATCTCAACTTGAACTGTATCTCCCAGAATTCCCAGGTCTTGTGGTAGGTACCCAGGGAGAGATAATTGAATCATGGGGGCCGGTCTTTCCCATGCTATACTTGTGATAGTGAATAAGTTTTACAAAATCTGATGAGTTTATCAGGGATTTCCACTTTTGCTTCTTCCTCATTTTCTCTTGCTGCTGCCATGTAAGAAGTGCCTTTGTCTCCCACCATGATTCTGAGACCTCCCCAGCCATGTGGAAGTGTAAGTCCAATTAAACCTCTTTTTCTTCCCAGTCTCTGGTATGTCTTTATCAGCAGTGTAGAAACGGACTAATACAATAGGCTCTCACAACAAAGAATTATTCAGGTCAAAATGTCAACAGTGTCAAGCTGAGGAACACTGCTATAGACCCTAAACTTGGACTGAGATAAGGGTATGGTATCTTGGGCTAGATGATATGTTTGGATCTGATCTCTACCACTATCTGGAAACTGTGGGCAAATTACTTACTTCTGACCTCCAGTGTTTTCCACCACAAAAGGGTTAATAATACCACACTGGGGAGGTTGTAGCATTAAATTAGATCCTTTCTGTGTGAAAGGCCAAGGGTTAATTCTCTTCCTGTTCTCCCATGCCCTTCTCCTCAGTGACCTCAACTTTTTGGTGAAGTTGACTTATTTCTCAGAGTGACTGTGAAGGATCGGCTAAAAGCCATCCAGATTTGGGAGCCACAGAAGCATGCTAAATGCCGACAATCCAGACCAACAGGGTTGAAGAGTTCTAGAGCTGGTTTCAGCCATTTGAATACCTGAGTTATCTAAGTTAGGGTGTGAGTGTTTGTGGAAAGGATAAATTTCAATTTGTCTACAGGAGGAATCTGAAATCTCACTCACCTCTGCAGCCCTTCCTTTTCTTTGAAACTTTCCTGTTCCACTACTTGGAAATCTTTCCTTCCTCCAGCCTCCTCTCCTTTCTTTTTTTCCTTCTTTACTCCTTCCTTCCAATGAACAAACTTCAGACACAGAAGGAAAACACTCCCAGCCATCACTGGGAGACAGACATGTAAACTGTCAGTTACAATCAGGTGTCCCAGGTACAGAGAGGGCACCAGGATGAAGGTGGATGATGCTATCTGAGAATGGAAGGAGTGTTTGAGAAAAGGTTCTTGGGGGAGGTTGCTAGAGCTGCAAGTCCGCCTCCTCCCACCCATTTCTAACCAGGTCAGATGCTTCTGCTACTGGTTTTTCAGTAAACTGTAAGCATCATGTGGTCAGGGACTTCTATTTTGTTCCCCAATATAGCCTCAGAGCCTAGAACAGTGCCTGCCACATAGTGGGTACTCAATAAATATTTGTGGAATCAATCAACATTATTTTGAAAAGTCACTAGGGATTCACAGAGCAGACCTAGAAGGGAAAGGAAGGGCATTCCAAGCACAGAGAACAGAATGAAAAAAGGCAGAGGAATGATGAGAATTATGAAGGATACAACAGGAAATGACATGGGGTGTGGTCAGCTGGGGAGATGGGACCACATGTGAACTGGTGGGGGGGGGCCTTGTGTGTGCATGGCAAGGCATTTGAAGTTATCTCTGGATTAGATAATTTGTTTGCAGGGAAAGTTTCGATTGAGAATGAAAATGTCTAAAGAGAGCATGACAGCATTCATTCAGCAATATTTATTGAGTACCAACTAAGCACTAGGCACTGTGCTGGCCTCTAGTTCTTGAGAGGGTTATTGCATTAGTCCAGAAGAGAGATAGAAGGGGCCAGAAACAATGAGGATGCAACCCAGCAGATAGACTTACCCATTACTGCGCACTTGCTCGCTACCTAAACTGGAAGTCAGGTGGGAGGGGGGCTTTCAGGGGAAAGGACATGACAAAGAGGACTCTGAGGTTTTAAACTATGGTAACTGACAGGGTGCTGGAGTCAACAATGAAAATAGAAACTACAAAAAGAAGTTTGAGTAGGAAGGGACTGTACAATCTTGAGCCAAGTCCTTCTGTGAGCCTCAGTTATTATTTTTAATATTAACATTAAATCATGATTACATGCCAGGCATGTATGAGGGCAGGGATTCCCAATCCTGGTCGGTGGCCTGTTGGAAACCAGGCCACACAGCAGGAGGTAGGTGGTGGGCCAGTAAGTATTTACAGCCGTATTTACATCTGTATTTACAGATGATCCCCGTTGCTTGCCTGAGCTCCGCCTCCTGTCAGATCAGTGGCGGCATTAGATTCTCATAACAGAGTGAACCTTATTATGAACTGCATGCAAGGGACCAAGGTCGTGTGCTCCTTATGAGAACCCAATGCCTGATGATCTGGCACTGTCTCCCATCACCCCCAGATGGGACTGTCTAGTTGCAGGAAAACAAGCTCAGGGATCCCACTGATTCTACATTATGGTGAGTTGTATATTATTTCATTATATATTACAGTGTAATAATAATAGAAATAAGGTATATAGTAAATGTAATGAACTGAATTCATCCTGAAACCATTCCCCTACCCCAATCCATGGAAAAATTGTCTTCAACAAAATTGGTCCCTGGTTCCAAAAAGGTTGGGGACCTCTGTATTAGGGGCTTTACATACCCCATTTCATGTAATCTTTATAACAGCCTTGTAAAGGAGATATTATCTCCCTCAACTTACCAATGCCTCAACTAAGGCACAAAAGTTTAAAGAATCCAAAATTATGGAGCTCATGAGGGGGTGAGGGAAGGGGCAGTGTTATTGATGCTAGGTCTATTGACTCCACACCCCTTCCTTTCTCCCTATACCCAGCTCAAAGAGGGCGGCTTCCGGCACTGGCCTCTGGCTACCAGCTTTAATTCTGAGCTGTCCATACTGTTTCTTGACCACCCTCCAGGCTCTCTAGGTCTGGTCTGGGGCAATGGCATAGGGACACTTTACTGCTGAAAACCTGCATTGTTCTCAGGGAAGATATTCCCCACAAACCATTCACTCAGTTGAGCCTTGAATGGAGGTCAAAGCCAACTCTTGCACTTCAGTCAGGAGACTCCTTCTTATAAGTGTGAAGCCTTAACCCAGATGTGGCTGTGCTGGTCTCTAAAGCGGGGGTGATTAATAGTACATCTCAAGTTTGTTAGGAGGATTAAATATGTATTGCATGTAGAACATCTGCATTGTGCCTGGTACATAGTAAGCACTTAATACATGTATGAGGCAGTGGAGTGGGATGTCAAGCACACAGGGTCTCTGGAGGCAGTTTGCTTGTCTTCAAACCCCAGCTCAATCACAAGTTCCATCTCCCAGCTTACTATCTATGAAATTTAGGCAGATCTTAACTTCTTGGTGCCTTTGTTTCCTCATGTGTAAAACTTGTATAATAACATAATCTACTACATAGGGTAGTTGTAGAGACTAAATGAGTAGAGACTAATGACATACAAAGCACTTAGAATACTGCCTCTTACCCCCTCCTTACTTTTGAGGTTTGGATCCTGATCAAGCAGGAATCTGCCTAGGACTTCTGCCCCATGCTGTTCTCAGAAATCAGTACCTCCATGAAAAGGAGTTGCCAAGAGCAGGTTTGGATAGAGGAGGTGACTAGCCTGAGAGGAGGCATTGATTCATTTTTTTCTTCCAGCATTTTACTGGGTGTTTGATTTGCACCATGTTAAATGCTTAGGTGCTAGGGATGCCACAATGATTAAAAGATCAACACCCTCCAAAGAGCTCAAGGCGGAAAAACGGGGAAGACAGGAGGGAGAGAGCAGTTGCAATGCTGCAGTGCATGCGAGGAAAACATGTTACGGCCTCACAGAACACAGAGGAGGGAAAGTTTAATCCTGCCCGGAGGATAGAGTGACCTTTGACCTCAGCCTGAAGGCCTGGTGTATTAGCATGGCAGGTGGGAGAAAGGGGCAGGAGTGTTGGTTAGGAGAACAGCATTTGCAGTGATAATGAGAGTTAGCATACTCGCTAGCATGTTATTTGCATTCGCTAATAGGAAGTGGTGGGTTTTAGTATCACGACGATGGATGATGACGATAATAAAGATAATGCTATCCTTGAGAATGACTCCAGGACATGGAGGTGAGGAAAGCAGGAAAGATCTAAAATTGGAAGGAGGAGCCAAGATGGCCGAATAGGAACAGCTCCGGTCTACAGCTCCCAGCGTGAGCGACGCAGAAGACAGGTGATTTCTGCATTTCCATCTGAGGTACCGGGTTCATCTCACTAGGGAGTGCCAGACAGTGGGCGCAGGACAGTGGGTGCAGCGCATCATGTGCGAGCCGAAGCAGGGCGAGGCATTGCCTCACTTGGGAAGCACAAGGGGTCAGGGAGTTCCCTTTCGTGGTCAAGGAAAGGGGTGACAGACGGCACCTGGAAAATGGGGTCACTCCCACCCGAATGCTGCGCTTTTCCGATGGGCTTACGAAACGACGCACCAGTAGATTATATCCCGCACCTGGCTTGGAGGGTCCTATGCCCATGGAGTCTAGCTGATTGCTAGCACAGCAGTCTGAGATCAAACTGCAAGGCAGCAGCAAGGCTGGGGGAGGGGCGCCCACCATTGCCCAGGCTCACTTAGGTAAACAAAGCAGCTGAGAAGCTCGAACTGGGTGGAGCCCACCACAGCTCAAGGAGGCCTCCTGCCTCTGTAGGCTCCACCTCTGGGGGCAGGGCACAGACAAACAAAAAGACAGCAGTAACCTCTGCAGACTTAAATGTCCCTGTCTGACAGCTTTGAGGAGAGAAGTGGTTCTCCCAGCACGCAGCTGGAGATCTGAGAACGGGCAGACTGCCTCCTCAAGTGGGTCCCTGACCCCTGAACCCCAAGCAGCCTAACTGGGAGGCAGCCCCCAGTAGGGGCAGACTGACACCTCACACGGCCCGGTACTCCTCTGAGACAAAACTTCCAGAGGAACGATCAGACAGCAGCATTCACGGAACACGAAAATCAGCGGTTCTGCAGACACCGCTGCTGATATCCAGGCAAACAGGGTCTGGAGTGGACCTCTAGCAAACTCCAACAGACCTGCAGCTGAGGGTCCTGTCTGTTAGAAGGAAAACTAACAAACAGAAAGGACATCCACACCAAAAACCCATCTGTACATCACCATCATCAAAGACCAAAAGTAGATAAAACCACAAAGATGGGGAAAAAACAGAGCAGAAAAACTGGAAACTCTAAAAAGCAGAACACCTCTCCTCCTCCAAAGGAACGGAGTTCCTCACCAGCAACGGAACAAAGCTGGATGGGGAATGACTTTGATGAGTTGAGAGAAGAAGGCTTCAGATGATCAAACTACTCCAAGCTACAGGAGGAAATTCAAACCAAAGGCAAAGAAGTTGAAAACTCTGAAAAAAATTTAGAAGAATGTATAACTAGAATAACCAATACAGAGAAGTGCTTAAAGGAGCTGATGGAGCTGAAAGCCAAGGCTCGAGAACTACGTGAAGAATGCAGAAGCCTCAGGAACCGATGCGATCAACTGGAAGAAAGTATCAGTGATGGAAGATGAAATGAATGAAATGAAGCAAGAAGGGAAGTTTAGAGAAAAAAAAATAAAAAGAAATGAACAAAGTCTCCAAGAAATATGGGACTATGTGAAAAGACCAAATCTACGTCTGATTGGTGTACCTGAAAGTGACAGGGAGAATGGAACCAAGTTGGAAAACACTCTGCAGGATATTATCCAGGAGAACTTCCCCAATCTAGCAAGGCAGGCCAACATTCAAATTCAGGAAATACAGAGAATGCCACAAAGATACTCCTCGAGAAGAGCAACTCCAAGACACATAATTGTCAGATTCACCAAAGTTGAAATGAAGGAAAAAATGTTAAGGGCAGCCAGAGAGAAAGGTCGCGTTACCCACAAAGGGAAGCCCATTAGACTAACAGTGGCTCTCTCGGCAGAAACTCTACAAGTCAGAAGAGAGTGGGGGCCAATATTCAACATTCTTAAAGAAAAGAATTTTCAATCCAGAATTTCATATCCAGCCAAACTAAGCTTCATAAGTGAAGGAGAAATAAAATAATTTACAGACAAGCAAATGCTGAGAGATTTTGTCACCACCAGGCCTACCCTAAAAGAGCTCCTGAAGGAAGCACTAAACATGGAAAGGAACAACAGGTACCAGCCACTGCAAAATCATGCCAAAATGTAAAGACCATCGAGACTAGGAAGAAACTGTATCAACTAACGAGCAAAATAACCAGCTAACATCATAATGACAGGATCAAATTCACACATAACAATATTAACTTTAAATGTAAATGGACTAAATGCTCCAATTAAAAGACACAGACTGGCAAATTGGATAAAGAGTCAAGACCCATCAGTGTGCTGTATTCAGGAAACCCATCTCACGTGCAGAGACACACATAGGCTCAAAATAAAAGGATGGAGGAAGATCTACCAAGCAAATGGAAAACAAAAAAAGGCAGGGGTTGCAATCCTAGTCTCTGATAAAACAGACTTTAAACCAACAAAGATCAAAAGAGACAAAGAAGGCCATTACATAATGGTAAAGGGATCAATTCAACAAGAAGAGCTAAATATCCTAAATATATGTGCACCCAATACAGGAACACCCAGATTCATAAAGCAAGTCCTGAGTGACCTACAAAGAGACTTAGACTCCCACACAATAATAATGGGAGACTTTAACACCCCACTGTCAACATCAGACAGATCAACAAGACAGAAAGTTAACAAGGATACCCAGGAATTGAACTCAGCTCTGCACCAAGTGGACCAAATAGACATCTACAGAACTCTCCACCCCAAATCAACAGAATATACATTCTTTTCAGCACCACACCACACCTATTCCAAAATTGACGACATACTTGGAAGTAAAGCTCTCCTCAGCAAATGTAAAAGAACAGAAATTATAACAAACTGTCTCTCAGACCACAGTGCAATCAAACTAGAACTCAGGATTAAGAAACTCACTCAAAACCGCTCAACTACAGGGATACTGAACAACCTGCTCCTGAATGACTACTGGGTACATAAGGAAATGAAGGCAGAAATAAAGATGTTCTTCGAAACCAATGAGAACAAAGACACAACATACCAGAATCTCTGGGACACATTCAAAGCAGTGCGTAGAGGGAAATTTATAGCACTAAATGCCCACAAGAGAAAGCAGGAAAGATCCAAAATTGACACTCTAACATCACAATAAAAAGAACTAGAAAAGCAAGAGCAAACACATGCAAAAGCTAGCAGAAGGCAAGAAATAACTAAAATCGGAGCAGAACTGAAGGAAATCGAGACACAAAAAACCCTTCAAAAAATTAATGAATCCAGGAGCTGGTTTTTTGAAAGGATCAACAAAATTGATAAACTGCTAGCAAAACTAATAAAGAAATAAAGAGAGAAGAATCAAATAGATGCAATAAAAAATGATAAAGGGGATATCACCACCGATCCCACAGAAATACAAACTACCATCAGAGAATACTATAAACACCTCTACGCAAATAAACTAGAAAATCTAGAAATGGATAAATTCCTCGACACTTACACTCTCCCAAGACTAAACCAGGAAGAAGTTGAATCTCTGAATAGACCAATAACAGGATCTGAAATTGTGGCAATAATTAATAGCTTACCAACTAAAAAGAGTCCAGGACCAGATGGATTCACAGGCGAATTCTACCAGAGGTACAAGGAGGAACTGGTACCATTCCTTCTGAAACTATTCCAATCAATAGAAAAAGAGGGAATCCTCCCTAACTCATTTTATGAGGCCAGCATCTTCCTGATACCAAAGCCGGGCAGAGACACAACAAAAAAGAGAATTTTAGACCAATATCCTTGATGAACATTGATGCAAAAATCCTCAATAAAATACTGGCAAACCGAATCCAGCAGCACATCAAAAAGCTTATCCACCATGATCAAGTGGGCTTCATCCCTGGGATGCAAGGCTGGTTCAATATACGCAAATCAATAAATGTAATCCAGCATATAAACAGAACCAAAGACAAAAACCACATGATTATGTCAATAGATGCAGAAAAGGCCTTTGACAAAGTTCAACAACCCTTCATGCTAAAAACTCTCAATACATTAGGTATTGATGGGACGTATCTCAAAATAATAAGAGTTATCTATGACAAACCCACAGCCAATATCATACTGAATGGGCAAAAACTGGAAGCATTCCCTTTGAAAACTGGCACAAGACAGGGATGCCCTCTCTCACCACTCCCATTCAACATAGTGTTGGAAGTTCTGGCCAGAGCAATTAGGCAGGAGAAGGAAGTAAAGGGTATTCAATTAGGAAAAGAGGAAGTCAAATTGTCCCTGTTTGCAGACGACATGATTGTATATCTAGAAAACCCCATTGTCTCAGCCCAAAATCTCCTTAAGCTGATAAGCAACTTCAGCAAAGTCTCAGGATACAAAATCAATGTACAAAAATCACAAGTATTCTTATACACCAATAACAGACAAACAGAGAGCCAAATCATGAGTGAACTCTCATTCACAATTGCTTCAAAGAGAATAAAATACTTAGGAATCCAACTTACAAGGGATGTGAAGGACCTCTTCAAGGAGAACTACAAACCACTGCTCAAGGAAATAAAAGAGGATATAAACAATTGGAAGAACATTCCATGCTCATGGGTAGGAAGAATCAATATCGTGAAAATGGCCATACTGCCCAAGATAATTTATAGATTCAATGCCATCACCATCAAGCTACCAATGACTTTCTTCACAGAATTGGAAAAAACTACTTTAAAGTTCATATGGAACCAAAAAAGAACCCGTATCGCCAAGTCTATCCTAAGCCAAAAGAACAAAGCTGGAGGCATCACGTTACCTGACTTCAAACTATACTACAAGGCTACAGTAACCAAAACAGCATGGTACTGGTACCAAAACAGAGATATAGATCAATGGAACAGAACAGAGCCCTCAGAAATAACGCTGCATATCTACAACTCTCTGATCTTTGACAAACCTGAGAAAAACAGGCAATGGGGAAAGGATTCCCTATTTAATAAATGGTGCTGGGAAAACTGGCTAGCCATATGTAGAAAGCTGCAACTGGATCCCTTCCTTACACCTTAAACAAAAATTAATTCAAGATGGATTAAAGACTTAAACGTTAGACCTAAAACCATAAAAACCCTAGAAGAAAACCTAGGCATTACCATTCAGGACATAGGCATGGGCAAGGACTTCATGTCTAAAACACCAAAAGCAATGGCAACAAAAGCCAAAATTGACAAATGGGATCTAATTAAACTAAAGAGCTTCTGCACAGCAAAAGAAACTACCATCAGACTGAACAGGCTACCTACAAAATGGGAGAAAATTTTCGCAACCTACTCATCTGACAAAGGGCTAATATCCAGAATCTACAATGAACTCAAACAAATTTACAAGAAAAAAACAAACAACCCCATCAAAAAGTGGGCAAAGGGTATGAACAGACACTTCTCAAAAGAAGACATTTATGCAGCCAACAGACACATGAAAAAATGCTCATCATCACTGGCCATCGGAGAAATGCAAATCAAAACCACAATGAGATACTATCTTACACCAGTTAGAATGGTGATCATTAAAAAGTCAGGAAACAACAGGTGCTGGAGAGGATGTGCAGAAATAGGAACACTTTTACACTGTTGGTGGGACTGTAAACTAGTTCAACCGTTGTGGAAGACAGTGTGGGGATTCCTCAAAGATCTAGAACTAGAAATACCATTTGACCCAGCCATCTCATTACTGGGTATATACCCAGAGAATTATAAATCATGCTACTATAAAGACACATGCACACATATGTTTATTGCAGCACTATTCACAATAGCAAAGACTTGTCACCAACCCAAATGTCCATCAGTGACAGACTGGATTAAGAAAACCTGGCACATATACATCATGGAATACTTTTACAGCCATAAAAAATGATGAGTTCATGTCCTTTGTAGGGACATGGATGAAGCTGGAAACCATCATTCTGAGCAAACTATCACAAGGACAGAAAATCAAACACCACATGTTCTCAATCATAGGTGGGAATTGAACAATGGGAACACTTGGACACAGGGTGGGGAACATCACACACCAGGGCCTGTCGTGGGGTGAGGGGAGAGGGGAGTAATAGCCTTAGGAGAAATACCTAATGTAAATGACGAGTTAATGGGTGCAGCACGCCAACATGGCACATGCATACATATGTAACAAACCTGCACATTGTACACATGAACCCTAGAACTTAAAGCATAATAAAAATAAACAAATAAAACCCAAGCATGTGCTCTTCACCACATAATTTGGCCCCCTCTTCCCCAAACCGGACTTCCCTCACCCAGCCCTGTCTCCTTTCCAGGTCTCATCTCCCATGGCCCCTCCTTGTGTCTTGCTATGCATCTTTATTCTTCCAGGCCTTTGCACGTGCACTTCCTTCTGCCTGGAATACATTTTCCTTTCTACTATACCCATCAAAAGCCTTTCCATGTGTGGATATCAGCTCAGCAGCTCCTGCTCTTGGAGCCCCTCCTCCAGATCCTGGCTGCTGTTTGCTCCCCTCCTCCTCCCTCCTGTAGTAGCAGGTGTGGTTGGCAGTGTGTGGGCCATGGTGTGTGCCAGGCTGTGGGTGGCCGAGTCTGTGCCAACATTCAACTACCTTATCTACCTCTTTATCAGGCCCCTGTTAGGTGCCAGGCCCTGGGCTGGGATCTAGGAACACAGAGGTATAAGCAAAAAAAAAAAAAAGGCATGTCTTGGCCTTTACAGGGCTTGCAGAGGCTGAGTCCTGTGGTGGAGCATTGTAAGGGGCTGTGAGGTCTCCCAAGAGAAGCCCCTATCCAGGACTGGAGCCCCTATTCAGGACTTGGAATGTCCAGCAGGGCTTTGTGGAGCAAGTGATAGCAAATCTCAGTGGAGCTAGTCAAGCCTTGAGAGGATTAAGAGGGAAAGCAATGTCCTCAACAAAGGGAACAGCCTGTGCAAAGTCCCGGGGGTGAGAGAAAGCTGAGCATGCTCTAGATACCACAGAGATTAGCACAGCTGAAAAGTCAAGTGTGCAGGGCCAGTGTTGCAAGACTACTCTGCAGAGGCAAGCTTTGGTCATTTGACCATGAAAGATTGCATAAGCCATAGGCAGGAATTCTGCTTCTCTCTCATATGTCTATGGGCTCCAGGTGTCTTTGAGGACAGTCTGGCATGGTGGCTAAGAGCCTACCTTTGCAGGCAGCAGACCTGGGTTTGACTTCTCCATCCACTCTGAGGGGGCTCAGCAAGCTACTTACCCACTCTGGGCCTTGGTCTCATCTTTTAAATAGGATTAATAATAGCCACCACTTCCTAGGGTTTGGGAGAAGATTGCATAACTTAATAGAATGAACACACTCCTGGGCACATAGGAAAAGCTTAATTCATGTGACTGTTACAGTGATAACAATAATATCCTGTATTATTGTTACCACTGTTACTGTTCTCACTATTTTTATTATTGGATCTCAATAATCTCTGCCTCTCTAGTGGTGGCACCCAGAACACCTGCCCACATCTTGGTCCTGGGGAAAATGGGCAAAGTCCAGCATTAGAGAACAACTCCTTTGCCCTCCACAACTCTGTGTGGGCCAAAGTATGAAATATCTGTGGCTGGGTGGAATATTCTGGCAGATGCACTGAACACAGGACCTGGATGCTATGTGAACACGGCAGCCTGGCTGGGAAAGCTACCTGTCAGCCAGGCTCACTTCTCCCCTTAAATGGCATTCTCTTTCTTGGGGAAGAGTTTACCCACTCAGGGTTAGTGATTCCTATTCTCCTTGCAGGATGCTTGGACATGTGCTGTGTTGTTAATTCCTTTTTGTGGTCCTTCCTATTCAATCCATTTTACTGCCCTTCTTTGCAGGCCTTGAGCCCTAGAGAGCTAATGCCTAAGAACTATAATACATCACTCAGACTCCCTTATCCACTAACTTCTAGCTAGATTTGGTCAAAGGGAAGCTTTGGTGGGAGATAGGAGGCTGGGAGGAGAGAGAACCCAGGGGTCTATGCCTCCCTCCTTCCTGAACTCCTTTCTTGCTGCAGTCCCTGCATTGGCTGTGACCAGTATGGTGGTAACTCCCGGGGCAGGGGTGGGCAGGTTCTCTTTCTTAGCTCCAGCTCTCTCAGCCATCCCAGAACACATTCCTTCACTTCCCCTTCCCCCTTAGAGAGGTACGGGCCTTCCACTGTTGCTAGCTTGGGAGTGCATCAACTTCTCTTGCTGGCTTCCTTCACCTTGCCCTGACCTCTAAACACAATCCTGTTACTAAATTCTTTTCAACTAAGCCCTTCTGTGTAAGACTTGTTTCCTGCCATGATTCTGATCAGTACTTCCACGGAGGGTCTGCAAAGTACCTTAGAGACACTCCACCCTCGCCAAGAGCAGAACACAAATCTGCCCCTCTCCTTGCCCCCTGGTATCTTGGTGCCTTCCAAGAAGACAGGCAGAGGTCCCATGTGGGCACTTCTCCCATAGGCCCTGCCTATTTGACTGCAGAGCTGCAGAGGAAGCAGGCTCCATCACAGGTGGCCTCAGGGGCCATGGGGGTGGGGAGGTTGTGATTTTATTGCAAGAACAAAGACAAGTCATGGCAGATTTGGGGGCTGGGAAGTGCCATTATCTGATTTGTAATTTTAGAAAGATCGTTTTATCTTTCATGAGCAGAGCAGGTTCTAGAGAGTGAGTGCAGCCCAGGGAAGATATTTAGGAGACTGATGCAATAGTTTCTATTTGAGATTATGGCATGGCCACCATCAGAGACATCTGCCACCTCCATCATGAAGCCTCTGCCAATCACTCCACTTTGAATGAAATTCCTCCTTCCTTTTGTGTGCCCCAAACTTTGTTGTAGCATCTATCGCAGTCAGCCCCTGAGACCCTCTCCTCCTCTCTAGGGTGAGTTCCTTGG
The DNA here is from genome assembly GCF_000001405.40 of Homo sapiens. Taxonomy (NCBI): domain Eukaryota; kingdom Metazoa; phylum Chordata; class Mammalia; order Primates; family Hominidae; genus Homo; species Homo sapiens. The sequence goes on from NC_000001.11 coordinate 58,966,951, forward strand.
CCTCAGTGCTCACTCACTCCCAGGGTTCTAAGCTTACTGGGCAACGACATATCACTAAGCTGGCTGGTACTCTCTAGGCAAATGCAAATGGCTCAGAAGGTATAACACATTATGCCATCATCAACTATTAATATCTAATATCAGATCAGCCGGCATCATCTTGTCAAACTAGAAAAGAAAGTAAGCTTCTGCCAAACATCTGCCATGTGCTGGGCCACCTTCCAAAGATGCCTCATTCAATCCACCAGCAACCTGGGCAGTAGGTTCTCATCTCGCAATGTGGAAACCAAGGCCCAGAGGAGTGGCTGCCCAGCTTGTGAGTGACAGAGCCTGACTCAAACCCAGGTCTCCCTGTTTATTACAGAGGCAAATCAAGAAACATGCTGTCAGAAGAATGGGCCAAGGCTACTGAGGAAACTGGGCCTAGAAAGGTTAATTTGGATAATAACAAACAATTACAAATGGACAATAATGATATCTAGCTTCACACACTTTGTTGATGCCAACTGTCACCCACTGCTACAGCAGAGGGGCATGCTCCTGAGGCTGGGTTCCTCACTATTAGCTGTGGGACTGCACATGCACTTTACACTGCCTACTCAGGTTAAACATTACCTCCTCTAAGAAGCCCTCCTGGACCTCGCAAGTCCTGGATAGGTACACATGTATTTGCCTACAGAGGCCCTTGTAGTTGCCTCTACATACTTACATATGAGTGTATATAAATATACCTTACACTCTCTCTTTCTTCGTATGTATGGGATACATATACACATACATATATAGATATATACATACACATATACACATACAATATACATACATATATATGTATATATATGTGTGTATATATATAGTATATATGTATATTGTATGTGTATATACCTAACTAAAGCCTCAAGACTTCTGTTGACACCTCAAAGAGGGCTTGAGAGCTGTCCTCTATGCTGAAGACTGCAGAGAGGTGGAGGGTATAGACTTGTTTTCAGTGTTCTTGAGGGGGAAGGCCCAATAGGTGAAAGCTGCAGAGACATCAATTTTGATTCAGCCCAAGGAAAAACTTTCTAGTAGCGAGAATTTCCCCAGGATGCAGCAGGCTCCCTGGGGGAGCCTATGAGCGTGGGCTGGGAGAGGCAACTATGGAGAAGGCTACACTTTAAGTGGTGTAGGGAGGAGTGGGAACTGGATCCCTCTAATGGGGTCTTCTAGTTTTGTGATTGGGGGCTCTTTTACCATAAAAAAAACTATTATTTATTAACCTTCTATGAAGCGCTTATCTCCTTACAAACATGAATTCATTCAACCTCACATTGGCCCTGCAAGGTAGATATTATCCAGTTCATGGATAAGGAAATGAGGCTCAGAGAAGTGGGGTAGCTTGCTCATTAGAAATTGGCATAGAAACATGAGCTGCATCTCACACTAGAACTCCGTAGAATAAACCAGCTGCCCCCACTTTCCTCCAGCAGTTAGGTTCATACAAGTTTTACCCATGTCAGCAGCACAACAGAGTTCATTTGGTTTTGTTTTCATGTTCCTTTACTTCCTCTCCAGTATCTCTACCTTTTTCATGCTGAAAGTTGGCCAGCAGTCCAGACCATCAGATCTAATCTGCTCTGGGGGAGTAGGGGCCTGGCCTGGTTCACAGGCAGTCCCCAGACTGGGTGGTGCCTCCTGAACCCTCTTTATTCCTTCTAGAAGGAATCCACTGTTTACTACCTTGTTCCTGGACCTCTAGACACATTTATAAAGCCACAGAACCTGGGAGGGGTAAGGAGGTTACATGAAGCGTGGCAGCTACAGCTGACAGAAGGTTTCAGAAAGTCCTGTCGCTTCAGTTTCAAGTCTGATGAAAGAAAAAAAAAAAAAAAAAAAAGCTAAGCAAAGCCCAACGAGGCTGCCTGCCAGGAGTCTGTGAAACATGGCCCAGGCCAAAGCCAGTGTCAGCCAAGAGGGAAATTACAGGCCTTAAATGGCAGACAAGTCTGCAAAAGCCTCCTAGAGTTGTGTTTGGCAAATGTTTGTTTGCATACATGTTTGTTTGTGTGGATGTGTTTTTCAGCATGTATTTTTTTTTTTAGTTATGTATTTAGCTCTAAGATCGTTTTTAAAAACAATGTCAAAATTGTACTTTAAAATAATTTATTCCTGGTGAATATTTGGAGCAATTCCATTCAGTTTAGTTCAAGTCAGCAACTATTTACTGACAGTCTATTCCATGCCAGGCACTGAGATTGGCACTGGGCATCCTGGGTTGCTAAAGGGGCTGCCCCATTCTGAGCTAGCTCAGTGGCTGCTGTAGAAAAAAGTCAGCCCAAATGCCCATCAATGATAGACTAGATAAAGAAAATATGGTACATATACACCATGGAATACTATGCAGCCATAAAAAGGAATGAGATTATGTCCTTTGCAGGGACATGGATGAAGCTGGAAGCCATTATCCTCAGCAAACTAACACAGGAACAGAAAACCAAACACCACATGTTCTCACTCATAAGTGGGAGCTGAACAATGAGAACACATGGACACAGGGAGGGGAACAACACACACTGGGGCCTGTTGGGGGAGGGGAGTGGGGAAAGCATTAGAGAAAAGAGCTAATGCATGCTAGGGTTAACACCTAGGTGAAGGGTTGATAGGTACCACAAACCACTGTGATACACATTTACTTATGCAACAAACCTGCACATCCTGCACTTATACCCCAGAACTTAAAAGATAAAAAAATTAAAAAATTAAAGCAAACAACAAACAAACAAACAAAAGTGATAATCAGGTGAGAGAATGAGGAAGAGGAATATTGTTTTCTAAATGAATATAATAGTTGGCTTTATTTTACAGTAAACATGTAGTTTCAAAAATATTAAAAACAAAGCACAGACAACTTGACAAATTACCATTTGTTCCACCACCTAGAATTAACTAATTTTTATATTTGTCATATTTGAATTATACATTTGTATGTGTATAAAAATTTTTAAAGTGTTATTAATAAAGCTGTGGTTCTCCTCCAAGAAAAAAGAGAAAAAGACACATGCATGGAAAAGAATCCCAGAGGACCCTTGGGCCCAGATCATTTCAGTCCGGTGTGGCTGGGACAAAAGAGGGAGAAGCCTTAGTTCTTGGGGGAGAAGGAGTCAAGTAGGACTTTACAGGCATACAAAGGTCTGGAGGGGGCCCTTCCAGGTACAGGAAAGAAACCTAGGGGAGCTCATCTGAAGGTCAGGGATGGATGACTTGCTCAAGGTCCCACAGCTAGAAACTGGCAGCCTGAAGATTTGAACTCAGGTCTGTCACATTCTTCTCCACCCCAGCAAATAAACCTGAAGGTGAAAGCTGTGTGATTTGGCTGGAGGGCTATGTCCAGCCTCTTTAAATCCTTCCCATCCCTTAAGGACTAGCCAACTCTTACAAATTCTCAGTAGGCTAATCTAATATCCACTGCTGAGTTCCTAGAAAATATGTGCCTCAATATTGCTCGTTATCTTTTAATGAAGCTATGCTTTTCTCTTCAACAATATAAATACATATAAACATTTATTTCATTTTTAAAAAATAAAATAAAGATTTGTGGTTTTCCACTCTATGTCATGACAATGTTTGGCAAAAGAGATAGGAAGAATGATAAAACCATCTTCATGGGTAGAAATAATTTTAAATTCTGTTTTACTTCCGTCACACACAGCAGGTACTCAATAAATACTTGCAGTGCTGGCCTGGCTAGGCTGTACTTTTTTATGACAGTGTATTAGTCAGATATTGCCACCATCATGCTGGGTAACAAACCACACGAAACTCAGTTGCTTACAACTACAAGCATTTATTTTTCTCACTGAGAGTTGGCTGGATACCTCAGGTTCAAGGTGCAGGCCCAGGGCTTTGGGTCAGTTTGAGTCTGCTTCTTTTGTCTCATTCTGGGGGCCAGGCTGAAAGAACCTCAGACTTGCCCTTTTCATGGTGGTAAATGAGACATGAGACAGGAGCAGAAGCAAGAGATAAGTAGAAACAGATCAAGCTTCTTGAGGTCTCAGCCCAGAACTGTCATGCTGTTGTTTCCACCCCCATAACTTTGCCCAGGGCAAGTCAATGGTCAAGCCCAATATCACTGCACAGGAAGACACATTTGCCCACTCTAGGGGGAGGCACAGCAAAGTCAGATGGCAAAGGGTATAATTCTAAAAGAAACAGAACATGAAGAACTGAAGAAAGATTCTAGGATTTGAAGGTAGACTTGACTTCAAATCTGAATTATCATTTACCTGCTTTGGAGACTAGAGAAATCGCTTAACCTTTTTGCATCTGTCTCCTCATCTGTTCTTACCTCTCTGGGGTGTAATAAGACTATTTCCCATCCTCACTTACTGAGTGCTGACAATGTACCACTCACTGAGCTTAGCATTTTATGAACATCATCACACATAAGACAGGTAAGGTAGGAATCCATCTCCCATTTAATAGATGAGGAAACTGAGATTGATAGATGTTAAGTGACTTGCCCAAAGTCACACAGCTACATTCGAAGTTTCATGCCAGGTCTGTGTCACCTCTACTTAATGTAAATAAGGCGTGTACACTGTCTGCCACATAGAGGGTCCTTGTTTCAGGTGAATTTCTGTATCTTTCCCTCTTAGAGAGTCCTGGAAACTTCTAGGTCGCTGGACTTTTACTTTCTGATGAACTTCACCCAAGCTGATGTGACCAGCTACCATCACCCAAGTTTCAAAGTTCATTGTTGCTTAAAAAAAATAAGGCTATTATTAGCAGCAATCAGAGGGCAATCACATTTCCCAGTCAGGAGTCTTTGGGAGGAAGGTTGTTTGAAGCAATGCCTGGATGGTGTTTGTGGTGCCACATGTCTGGTGTGGAGGCAAATTTCGTAATGGCCATGCCTGTCAGGTGATGCCGAGACCTCTGCTCAGAACAGATATCTTTCCAGTCGGGAGTGGCTGCTCTGACATCGCTGGGGAAGGACAGCTAGCAGCTGCTCTTTTGCAAGACTTGATTCATACAGCATGGAAGATACTAGTAAGAGCAAGTCTTTAGATAAGAGACCTGATTTAAATCAGGGTTGTGCCTCTGACTGGCTGGGTGGCCTTGGCCCCTGGTGATGCTGTTCCCTCTGCCTGCACACCTCCTCAGGGCCAGCTCTCCACCTTAGTGTCACTTCATCTAGGAGATCTTCCCTGACGTTCTCAAGCTAACACACTGGACACCCCCAGGCTCTGCACTTAGATGATCTTAATTGCTTGTTTAATTGGCTGTCTGCTACAGGATAAGTGTTGTTTGAGAACAAGCCCTGATCAATGTTTGCCACTGAAATCCTACTTCCCAGAATGATGTCTAGTGCATAGTAGGCACTGTAGGAACATTTATTTATCTAATGAATTCAGTAATAAACTACTAAAAGCATACTGTTGATTTGTAACCTTTTGGTGGTGGATCCAATATTGTCTGTGCTATGGAAGCCCCTTGGCTCTAAATCCTTGCTAATCAAAGTGTGGTCCTTGGATGGACCTACATCACCTGAGGGCAGCCCAGTAGTTTTAACTGTGCAGATCCTGAAGAGGTACGGGTACTGCTTGAACAGTATACCATTCATTGAGATGGACAGATGATGATCTATTTGTTAAGAAATAAGTTGTCAAAACCTTGCTAGTGACTAGCTTCAAGAGCATGCCAGATGCCCCATGGTCCCCAGGGTGATTTTTTTTTTTTTTTAACTATCTACCAGGAGAAGGGGATGAGCCAGTGCTTATTGTCTAGTCTCACTTCTGGTCTGTGAGGCAGATATCATCATCTCCACTGTATGCAGGAGGAGGGTGAGGTCCAGAGAGATTAAATCACTTGCCCAAGTTCACACAGTTGGGAAGAGGCAGAGTGGGGATATCCCCTTTACATCAAGCTGACTCTCCCAGGAAAGCTACCCTTTTAACTCTGACAGTAAAACCTCTGCCTTATTCCACATTCTGTCCTTAAATCCTCTTCACACAGGAAAAGCTACATTCTCTGAAGCATGTGAATGGGCCCTTCTGGGTCTTCTACTAAATATATACCCCATGGCTCCCTCCATTCTAGCCATGATGGCCTGATTTCTGTCTCTTGAATACACCAGCTGATGCCTGTCCCAGGACCTTTGCAGTTCCTCCTGCCTGCAGAGTGTCCCCAGATCTCCCCATGGTTGCCTGCTTCTCATCATTCAGGTCTCACTCTGTGTCACCTCTTCAGAGAGACTTTCCCTAAACACTCTAGGGAAAGCAGTCCTCCTCCGCCACCAACAAACATTCATTCTCATTCCCATTTTATTTTTTTTCCACATCACTTAATTTATGCTAAATTACCATGGGCATTCATTCAGATGTCTTTTTTTCTCTCCATTAGAGTGGATGTTCTTTGAGGTCAGAGTTCTTGTCTGGTTTTGGTTTGCACTATTCCCAGGCTAGTGAATTGTAAGGATGATTCTAACACATTCTTGTGTTGAGACGTTTTTGTATCCAGTGGATTTATATCAGGGCTTGCATTGGCTTCTTGTCTTCAGAAGGAGAGCAGACCCTTGTCCAAGTGTCCAATCATGCTTCAGGGTGTCAGAGGGGCTCCGATTAGCTGTTCAGGTGGGGTCTTATCAGGGTGCATGCAATTATCCATGCAATTCCTGACCCCAGAAGGAAGTGATCCTTTTCATCATTTGCACCCTGATAGGACCCCACCCAAACAGCTAATCAGAGCCCCTGTGACATCCTGAAGCATGATTGGACACCTGGACAAGGGGTCGGCTCTCCTGCAGACGAGAAGGCAATGCAAGCCCTGACATAAATCCACTGGATACAGTAATGTCTCAACACAAGAATGTCTTAGAATCATCCATACAATTCACCTGAATTTGCCCTTGAGTCTATGCTTTCTGAGGGGAGGGATAGTATCTACTTTCCTTACTGCCAGCACATGTCATCTGCCTACCTCTTTAGAAGGGAGCATCTGGTAAGTATTTGTTCCTTCTCTGACCTCTCTGGGTCTCAGCTGAGAATGTTAACAATGATAGACATAACTTTTGAATGCCATCGTGTTTTTCTCTGCTTGAGTCAGGTACACAAAGGAAAATAAAATTAAACCAGAAAGGAATGGAGGGAACCCATCTTTTCTTTCTGTTTGAGTATGCCAAAGCCCAGACTTGGGATCTTGACCTGGAGGAAGCCACCCAATTGCTGGACTCAGAATGACCTGATTTCTGCTTTTTATAAATAGGAAGTCCCATTGTCCATTTAGGCCTCACCATTGTTGAACTGCCCTGTTATATCCACACCTACTTCTTCTGTGGAACGTCCAAAGTGATACAGAACTCTGTACAACCCACTGAGTGGGCATGGAACCCAGCTGTACACCTCCATTGCTAGTCTTGAATGAGTTAGCTCATAGAGATGGAATTTGCAAACTAGTCTCTGAACATAGTCTGGCTCCTAACAGACCACCTTTCTAAATGATGTGGAGTTCTGAAGCATTTCTTGGACAGTTTGATCCACGTTGAGTGGAGAGGGACAATGGGTTGGTCCTAGAAGGTACTGAGGGCCCACGCTCTGTGAGACACTTTGTATACATGATCTTTAATTCTCACAATAGCCTTTATTATGCTATGCATTTTACAGATGAGGAAGCTGACGCCCAGAGAAGCTAAGTTACTGCCTCACTGCCTCACAGCTAGTAAGCAGCGAAGCCTAATGCTTGGTCTTCCAGTCCAGACTTAAGTTTAGAGCTGAGGAACTCCAGCTTAGATGCTAAGTGGCTTGGCTGAAAGGCCACATCTCATATCCCCCTGATAAGTGGCAGAACCAGTATCTAAACCCAGATGCTTTATTCCCAAACTCTAAGCTGCCTGTTACCCTACACCACCTTTTCTTTGTAATAATGTGGGACTCAATTTGCCTAAAGTCACGTGGAGAATCAGAGGGAGCTTCAGGACAGGGCCAGCTCTCTTGACTCCTGGTTTAGTGTTTCTTCCTGAGACCACATCACCTGTCTGCCCTATGCACTGACATGGAAAAGCATTTCCAGAGAACGGTCTCAAGGCTGATGCCAGAGGACAAGGCTGATCCCTGAAGACTCAGGCTTCTTTCAAGGCCAGTGGGGTCACCCTACGAAGGCTTTTCACCCTCCTCTAAAGCACTGTTCCTGTGTTTAGTCTGGTCTGCCTCCAGGGGCAAGATGATGGAATGGATAATTGCCCTGGACAGTTTCTGTCACTTGAATGCCAATCTGCCATTGTGTTTTCCCTTTGCCAGAGAGTCTTCATAGCTGGAATAAAACCCATGACATAGGCACTGGAGGAAAAGAGAGATTGTCTACAATTCACACCAAATAATTGAGGGGATGGAGTGACTTCCCTAGGAAGCCAGACTGAATAGTTCCTACAGTCTCTAAAATCAGGGAATTGCAGTCTTGGAATGATGCTTAGCAAGCTGCCTTAGTTCAGCTGCTATAACAAAAATACCATAGGCTAGGTGGCTTATAAACAACAGAAAATTATTTCTCACAGTTCTGAAGGCTGGAAAGTCTAAGACCAAGTTGCCAGCAGACTCAGTGTCTGGTGAGGGCCCACTTCCTGGTTTATGGACCGCCATCTTCTTGCTGTATCCTCACATGATGGAAGGGATAAGGGACCTCTCTGGGGTCTTTTTTATAAGGGCACTAATCCCACTCATGAGGATTATTCCCTCATGAGGGTCATGCCCTCTTGACCTAACTACCTCCCAAAGACCCCACCTCCTGATACCATTACCTTGGAGTTAGGTTTTAACACATGGATTTTGGAGGGACACAGACATTCAGTCTACAGCAAAAGCCTAAGCAATTGCAGCTTAATAGCTAGAGTCAGGTCTGAGTTCCAATATTCTTCTGCCTCTTCCCACTTACTAAATTATACCTGTAAGTATAATAATAATAATACTGACTTCTTAGGATTGTTGTGATTTTTAGCATGAAATAATATATGTGATATGCCTGGCCCAGAGAAGACAAGCAATAAAGAGCAGTGTGTGTGTGTGTGTGTGTGTGTGTGTGTGCGTGTTTGTTTGTGTGTCTTCCTCCTTACCGCTTCACTGTGTGTACAGAGAAACTAGAGCCAGAGACAGAAGTTGTGACATGTACAGACACGTGGGAGTTAACAGCAGAGCCAGGACTTGAAGACTTATCTCCAGTCTCCCAGGCCAGTGTTCTTATTTCACATCATAATAACAAGGTTGCAATTTGTTAAACATGTCCCTAAATTGTGGGCCTCAGAAGCATAAAAAAGACAATTTTCAGAGAGCATAAAGGGAATATATCAAAATGAAATTGTTCTTCAAGCATTCTGGCATCCAGAAAGTACATTTGAGTGGTATTCCTGTATGGTCAGGGCAACAGGAATGTGGCTAGATTTGATTGTTTTCACTCAATAGAGAACTAAACTCAACAGTTTCCTTGTACCCACCTCCACTCCCAAGACCAAAGGATTTTAGCCAGATGTGGTTTGAGAGAAAGTCAAGAGCAGAATATAGGTACACCATGTACAGGCCCTGGAGCCAGCCGGGGCAAGCTTTATCTATGAGATAAGGACTGTGAGTACACCTTGTAGGCTTCAGTCATTTTGTTCTTATTAAAAGGAATATTCCAGAAATGACTTTATTTTTCAAGGCACACAGCTTTTTCACTGGTCTCTGAGAACACTTTAGAGGATGACTGTCTTACAAACCCATGGATAATTTATATCACATCACAATATAAGAATGCAATTTGTTAATCATATTCCCAAATGGATAATTGACATTTGAGAGTCAGGGACAGGGCCACAGAATACTGTGCCTTCTGAACAATCAATGAAAGTGATAAACACAGCTTCTCTTGGCTCATTGACCTTCAAATCTTCCTTCAAATGATGCCTTTTCAGTGTGGTCTTCCCCGGCCTCCCTATCTAAAATTGCAAACCCACAAGCATACCCTATCACCATTCCCTGATTTATTTCTTATCTTCAACAGTTAATATTGCAGGATATGCTATATATTTTACTTACTTTGCTATTGCCTGTGAAACTCCACTATTCATTTAACAAAACTCATGTGCTTTAACTACTTTACAAATATCAGCTCATTCAATCCTCACAATGGCTATAAAAGAGAATACTACTATTGCTCCTTTATATAGATGAGGACACTAAGGCACAGAGAGGTTAGATAGTATGTCCAAGGTCACACAGCTCACAAGTGGCAGAGTTATGACATGATCCCAGGAATCTGCCTCCTGAGTTCTTATTCACACCCACTGTACTGTTCTGCCCATACAATGTGAATTGCACAAGGGCAGGGGTTTACCTGTTTGATTCATTGCTGTATTCTCAGTGCCTAGAATAATACCTGGCATACCATGGTGCCCAATAATTATTTGTTAAATTAAAAAATGAGGGAATGGTTAAACAGAGCTTATTGTATTCCACTTCTTTAAAGCTCTTCATCCACAGATACTACACATAGACAGCCACTCTCCATTAAGCAAATCTCCGGATTATAGGAATCCAGAGGGACAGGTGGAAAGAGCACGGGCTTTGGTGTCAGCAAAAACAGGGGAGTCAAAATCCCAACTCAACAATCACACGTAGTATTACCTGAGCTGTGTGACTGTAACAAATTCACCTCATCTCTTTCAGCCTTGGTTACCTCATCTTTACAATGGAGAAAATAGTGTGTTCCTTGTAGGATCATGTCTTATGGTGAAAGGTAAATGTAGATAAAGGGCCAGCACAGAGCAGGTATCAGTAAATATCAACTCCCTCCTACATTGGGAAGGGATGGAGGGAAGAGAAGTGAACTTCATCTCTTTTGCTGAGCAAGCACTTATTTTTCAGAGTGAATATATCAGGATTAGGGTAGGGGAAAGCAAAGAGGATCAAGAGATGGAAAAATTTCACTTTTCTCCTCTACTACAATTAAGACTGGAACAATGTCAGCCTAAATGAACAATCTATTTCTTTGCATTCCCAGATAAAGTCATATTGACGTCACTCTTTTCTCATCTGTTATCTTATTAAATTTGGTTTCCTATAACATAAAACACTGGCTCTTCTGAAGTAGTTTTCCATATTATTGAGCAGGCAGGGGGATTTCAATCTATCTTCCACCAGAAAACAAAGTCTGCTTTTAATTAGGGAGGACAAAGGTACACATCTCACATTCAAGTTGCCCATTCTTCCTAATTTGTAGGCTTAGCTCTTAAAACTCTAATTATTTGTCTTACTTTTAAGACTGTTTCCTTCTAGTCTTAGTCAGAGATTCTAATGTGAAACTAAGAGTCCCAGGCTCAACAAGTTATTTCTGCTTTCTGGATTTGGTGAGCTCCTTGACATCAGATTTGCACTGGAGACTTCCACAAATGACCACCAGAAAGATGTTTCTCTTTCTGCAGGAGGAGGCCCCAGGTCCTACTGTATGCTCTGTCCTCCTTCTGGGGCCCTTCTGCTGCTCACACGTGAACATTGCATGGCAGCCCCAGTCAATTAATTCTAAATCTCTGAACCAACGCTCAATCTTTGCACATGCTATTCTTTCCTCCTGGAACACCCTTCCCTTACCTCCTCTGAGCACAGAGACCAACTTGATCCTCAAGATTCAATGTGGATCTTCATCTGGGATGACACCTCTGAGGGGCCTCTGAGGTGTTCCTTCCTAGCATATCACCTTTCTTATAATCTCCAAAAGTTCATGCTTTTCTCTGTGAGCTCCTTCAGAGTAGGCACTGTGTCATTCATTTAAGTATGTTTAAGCCTCACATAGGCCTGGTTTATAGCAAGTTCTCAGTGAATGATTTAAAGAGACATGCCAAAATTTAACCTTGATGTTCCAATGAACAGGGAGCGGAGTTCTCAACAGAAAGCAGTAGGATGGGGGGGATGGGGTGTTGACGGTTTCCTGGGGGACCCTTTGGGCTAATCTGATCCAGCCCCCTTTATTCTGAACATGATGAAATGGCAGCTTAGGGACATCCCGGAGGCTGCAAATGTTGTTGGCAGAGCTGAGGTTTTCTGATTCTCAGTCCAGTACTCAGCCATGATATCAGGGTGGCCCTCACCCTCATGAGGCAGCTGCAACAAAGACACAGACGATGGAGTGGGGAAAGCCATCGAGGGACAAGAGACAAACTGGGTTTGAACAGAAATCACTGGAGTGAGGCCTGCTGTCTTGGCAGCAGACTGCCTGGCAGACTGGAGGTTGCTAATGGCAAGAAACCCACAGGGAGGATGATGGGGAAGAGCTCTGGGATGGCAGACTTGAGCTTTGTGGGTCAGACCCATTGGCCTGAGTCAGCACAGGAACCAGGAGAAAGCGACACAAAACCGCCCTCAAATCAAAGGATTCTTACTCTTTGCAGCTGGCCATCTGGCCAGATGTTAAGAAAAGTAGACCTTGCAAAAACTCTCTAGTAAGAGGAAGTGGTTTGAATTTCCTCCTTAAAGGAGGATGCTTCATTTAAATAGAATTCAGTGGAATTAAGTGCAAGAGGGAAGCACACTGAGCCCTCTGCTTGGACCTTGAAATTGACTTCTTGCAGCAAAGAAGGATCCAGAAATGACTTCCCAGGGAACTAGAGGATGATTTTTACCAAAGGATCTCAACTAGGGTAGGAATGGATATAACGGAACATGCTTCCACCTATTGAGCACCTGTTCTGTGCTGGATGCTTAACTCAGTTAGTCCTTCTGACATTCTCACCAAATCCCAGTAGAAACTCAGGCCCTCGGAAGGTAAGTGATTTACCTTACAAAGAACACACAGCCAGGCAGATCTAGCCCTGAGATGAACTCCACCAGACTGCTGTATGAAAGTTTGCTCCCAAAGCCAGCCAACGCTCTTAGAACTCTCCGGGCCTCAGTCTAAGGGAGCTTCTCTTATCTGTGAGCTAACACTCACCAGCCTGTCCCCTCCTCTGCTTTGCAAAGCTCAGTTTTGCACAGCTAACTTCTTTAGTAGCTTAGAGAGATCAGACCATAAGTGCCCTGAGAAAAGGAGCTGGTTCCATTTATCTCTGTCTTCTTGGTACCAACTCAGGCAAGTGCAAGGGATCACAGAGATGTTTGGAAAATAATGCCTTCTCCTGTACCAGGGTCTTTCTGAGTAGTAGCTCATCTTACTCTTACACCAAATCAATGGGGTAGGTGATGTCATCTCCATGTTTGAGATGGGGAAACTGAGACCCTTGAAGGGATTGATTTTCTTCAGTATGTTGTTTGATTGCCTTTTAAAAATAAAGGTATTTTCTGAGCATGATGTAGTTAAGATATTTTATGATGCTTTTGTGCAAAAGTGTCAGGTTTATGTGTTTTTCTAAATCAAATAAATCTGGCTTGCCACCTCCACCCCCAATTTGGTAGGAAATTCTATCTGTTATATGGGGTAGGGGTTGCCCCAAATCCTGGGGACTTACGAGGAATGGAGTTTAAGATAAGGGTCTGTCTTTAGTCTTCAGCATAAAGATGTCCCAACTATAAGGGTGACATTAACAAGCTTATACTTCTGAATCCTTCATTGCACAGGCTTCTTCCGAGGGGGATCCTAGCAATGTGTCCATGCTGTCAGATATTATTATAAAATTTGCCAAAATAGAATATTTTAGTCTCTAAGAGTGAAGATTGCCATCTCCTTCCACTCCCACATTGTCTCCATCACACTTCCCCTCCTGCTGAGTAACGGAGTGGCCATAGGCATTTTGTATTTGTAATTGTTTTCTGAAAGAAAGCTCTCCAAATTGTATATGCTTCAATATCCTGGCCACTGAGATAGACATTAAAGCCTTAAGCAATAAAAAGGAAAAAAAAATCCATGCTGGGTATGCTGGCTCATGCCTGTAATCCCAGCAATTTGGGTGTAAAATGTTTAAACTGCTTAGAGCCATGGGAGGCCAAAGGGGGTGGATCACCTGAGGTCAGGAGTTTGAGACCAGCCTGGCCAACACAGTGAAACCTCGTCTCTACTACAAGTACAAAAATTAGCCGGGTGTGGCAGTGTGTGCCTATAGTCCCAGCTACTCGGGAGGCTGAAGCAGGAGAATCGCTTGAACCCAGGTGGCGGAGGTTGCAGTGAGTAGAGATTGTGCCACTGCACTCTAGCCTGGGCTACAAAGTGAAACTTTGTCAAAAAAAAGAAGAAAGAAAGAAAGAAAGAAAGAAAGAAAGAAAGAAAGAAAGAAAGAAAGAAAGAAAGAAAGAAAGAAAGAAAGAAAGAAAGAAAGAAAGAAAGAAAGAAAGAAAGAAAGAAAGAAAGAAAGAAAGAAAGAAAGAAAGAAAGAAAGAAAGAAAGAAAGAAAGAAAGAAAAAAACAGAAAAGAAAAGAACAAAAAAGAAAAAGAAAAAGAAAAAAAATCCAAATTCCCAAAACAATAATAACACATGGTGACCCTGAATTCTTATACATTGGCTCACCTAGAGAATTTTCTTTAGGATAACAGATTCTCTTTATTAAAATATATCTGTCCTATATTCAAAAGTCTGTAGCCAAGGGGGATTGTATGAGAATGGAGAGTCTACATCTACTCCTGCTGTGCTGTGCTGTGCCCCATTTAAAGGGGACAGTTCTCCTAGCCCTCCTGCTGTGCTAGTCAAAGGCCAAGGGCAGCTTTCCCTGTAACTGCTAGAACCACAACTCTGCATGTGAAGTCTTTTGGCTTTTTCTTCTGCTTTTCCAGAGGTTCTGCCCCTCCTGGGTTGGGATGCTCTATGGTAGTAGGATGCAGCTCCCCATCTTTGGAAACAGCAGCCACTGTAGTTTATTTTGCCATCTTGGAGAATCCCTGCCAGATACGGGCCATTCCACCTTTTCAACCTTAGCACCAGTCTTGGCCTACCCTTCTCCTTCTGGAATAATGGATCTCTCTTTAAGCAGAGTAATAAGGGAGAGGATATGTAAGCATTGTTCAGACCGTCAGAAAGACAAGAGTGTCCTCCTTCTCTTGGAGAGTTTGAAAAGGACATTCTTGCCATGGAATATAAGCAAGCAGACCAAAAACTAAACATATAAGCCAACGGCACAAAAACACCATTCCTTTTTTAAAAAAAAATTTATTTTAAGTCCCGGGACACATGTGCAGGACATGCAGGTTTGTTACATAGGTAAACATGTGTCATGGTGGTTTGCTGCACCTATCAACCCATCACCTAGACATTAAGCCCCGCATGCATTAGCTATTTATCCTGATGCTCTTCTTCCTCCAAACCCCTGACAGGCCCCAATGTGTGTTGTTCCGCTCCCTGTGTTCATGTGTTTTCATTGTTCAGCTCTCATTCATGAGTGAGAACACGTGGACACCATTCCTTTTTAAAAAATCACCTGTCTTGGTATCAATCTTACTGGGAGCTTAAAGACACCACTTTACAAAGACATTGAGAGGTTTGTGTTAGGGTCATCGTTTTACCTGTGAGTTTAGCAGAGGATGCTGAGGCTAGAAAGAAAACACCCAAGGAGAAGGGCACACAGCTGGAGGGGAGTGTGCTGCTGCTCTGCCCAGATGCGTCTGACTCCACTACCCAGGAGTTTCCTTTCCCCACACTGGGAAGCATTGTTCGTAGATGAACAGCCTTCCTGGAAGAGGTGACACTTGAGCTAAGTCTTAAAGAACAGAAGGCTTTCTGCTGGGTAACAGTGGTGGGAAGGCCATGATTGAAAAGGGTTAAAAAGTGTAGATGCTTTTGTAAACACAGCCAGGCAACAGGGTCAAGCAACAGGGGTGAGGCCAGTGGTGAAACAGCAGACGTGGTGGATGTGGTTGTTTTTAGTCTCTTGGATGAAGTTCAAAGCAAAAGTCCCTGATATCCCCTGGAGAGAGAACATCCAGGTTGTGTTCCTGCCCAGAGCCGAGTAAACAGGATTATTGGAACCTGCTGTGGCCTCAGCTGGACACACTGGCTGCAGCCTGGCTGGCGCAGAGGGAGAGAGTGACAGGAAAATGGCTGAGATTAGGAACCGCCCTTGCCTCTGGACTTGGGTCTCTGAGGAAATGCCTCTGTTGGGATAACCTGTCTTGGGCACTTGGAATCTGTATTTCAGGTCAGAAAATATGCATAGCCTTTGACCCACCAATTCCACTTCTAGGAATACAAGAAGGAGAAATAGTTGCTGATGTGTGAAAAGATATATGTACAAGGATGTTCAACGTAGTATTGTTGATAATAAAAAAAAATTGGAAGCAACTTAAATATCTCAGGAAACTTATAGTACATCTATATGACAGAAAAATTTTAGCCCTTAATAATCATGTGGTAAAAGACTATTCGTTGATATGAAATATTTAGAATATTTTGCCAAGTTAAAAAAAGGTTATAAGACAGTATGCACCACCTGCTCTCAATTATGTAACTATTTATCATGATGACATTTACTGAACACTTGCCATGTGCCAGCCGTGGCTCTAAGCAGTTTAAACATATTTGATTGTGCAACAAGTTTATGAAGAAGATTTCTTATTATCTCTATTTTACACATAAGGAGACTGAGACACAGAGTGTTTAAGTAATTTGTCTAAAATCACAGCAGTAAGTGGCAAAACCTGCACGTGAACAAAGCATTCTAGCTCCAGAGCCCAAATGCAAACAACTAAGTTGCCATACTCTCTTCCTATGTGTGTCCACGTTTCTGTGGTTTCTTTGATTTTCTTTCTCTTTCTTGGAGACTTTACACCCAAACGTTAGCTGTGTGTTAAGTAATCCCCTTGTAGGGCAAGAGCAGATAAATATTTTCATGATGGAAGTGAATGTTGCAGCCAGTATAGGCTCCAAAGGACATTTACACCTTGACTACAGAGAACACACTGCATGCCACTTAAGATCTTGTACAGGACAGACACAAGCAGTTCCCCAATTCACTTATTCAGCAAAATAATGATTAAGTGCCAGTTCTGCACAGGCTCTGTTCTAGGCTCTGAAGATTCAGCAGTAAGGCAAGGGACACAAGGCCAATTCTCCAATAAGACTTCCATCCTCATGGGGGAAGCAGGGAGGTAACCAGTAAATAAAGAGCCAAGAAAAATATTAGCTGGAGTTCAGTGTTCTGTAGAGTACTACAATTGGAATGGTGCCATAGGGTGGGATCATGGGCTTAGGAAGATGACCTTTAAGAGGAGACATTTGAGCTAAAACTTGAATGACCAGCAGTAGAGACACACACATACACACACACACACACACACACACACACACACGGGGTGGCAGGGAAGCAAATCCAGCAAAATGTTGACATTTGGGAAATCTGGATGAAGGGTACAACACAATTTTTTATATAAGTGTTGTAACATTTCCATAAGTCAAATAATTTTGGAATACAAAGTTAAAATATGTCAAAATAAATATATTACAAATACAAACAATCACTCTACATCTAAGGAAATAGAGTTGGTAGAGCTTGCTGGTGAATGCCATGTGGTGGGTGAAGAAATCAAGAGGAAGTAGATGATGCTGGCGCCTTTGACTAAAGTAGGGTGAGGCTGAGGTATGAGGTATGGGGAGAAAAAGCAAACATCCTTTTCTTTGACCCAATAGTCAGTTTGCAAACTACCATACACTTATCTTCTCAGTGGGTCTTCTCCTTTTTTTTAGAGATGGAGTCTTGCTCTGTTGCCCAGGCTGGAGTGCAATCTCGGCTCACTGCAACCTCCGTCTCCCGGGTTCACGTCTTCTCCTGCCTCAGCCTCCAGAGTAGCTGGGACTATGCCCGGCTAATTTTTTGTATTTTTAGTAGAGATGGGGTTTCACCGTGTTAGCCAGGATGGTCTCGATCTCCTGACCTCGAGATCCTCCCACCTCGCCCTCCCAAAGTGCTGGGATTACAGGCGTGAGCCACTGCGCCTGGCCAGTGGGTCTTCTCTTACCCTCCTTTGAATCAGGTAGGATTTTTTACTGATGAAGAAACTGAGACCAAGAGTGGGGAAATGATTGTATGTGGTGTCATGGTGACTGAGTAGCAGAGTTAGGTGCCAAAGTCAGATCTTCTGAATCCATGAAACTAACAATCCCCAAGGCTAAGTGACAGGAGATACATCATGTATATTTTCCGCTGCTCTAAAGTAGAATAAATGTTGAATAGGCTGGGCAATAATTGGCCCGTGGAAGACGCAGGTAACTCAATCTGACTATGTTGTAGAGGGTTGGTTGTAACACTCTCTTTCTTAGAAACTATCAAGGATTCCCAGTAACCCATGAACCATTTTAGTTCCCAAGAGATAGTACAATGCTGTAGACTGCAACTTGACTTACTGTGATGCTAAGTTATTATTCCATTTTTATTATTTTATAATTATTATTAAAAATAGAGGTAAACCACCTACTCCTCTCAAAAGGTAGTTAGGAGAATCAGCATCCAAAGGAAATACTGCAAATGAAAGGGTTTGTGGTCTTCAACACTCGGTTAGACGAGCTCCTGTTGGGGTCTTAGGGTCATGTTCATTATCTCTGAGTACATTGCAAGTGCTTCAGGTTGCCTTTGGAGGTCACTCCTGTGACTGGCTCAGCTTCTGCCAATTTGGAGACCAATTTAAAATTCCAAGACATCAACAAAACAAACCCAGGATCTTAGAGAAAGGGAGTATCAACTAACACTAAAGTAGTACCTGCTAAGTGCAATTTAGTGACATTTATCACTAAGTAGCACCATTTGACCCCCCACTCCAACAGCCTCTTGAGGGAGCCCCATTAACTCAGTTTTAAAAGAGGAGGAAACTAAGACTTGAAGTATTAAGCAATGTGGTCCCATGCTAGCAGTGAGCCTACAATGTCTAAGCCAGAGCTTGCACCCCTTTCATGGCACTACATGGCCAAATAGGCCCTTTCTGGTCCCAGAGATGAAGGTTAACCAATGTGCAAAAATAAGTTGCCTTGGAATCCACCCTGCTTACAGGTCCTCATTACCCTAAATCAATGATCTGCACGATTTCATTGGGATGGTATGTGTGCTTGATTTATATTGGCACAGATCAAGCCATAAATTGTGCCTATGGACCCATCAAAGTCTTTTCTCACATTGAAGATGTTTATAGAAACAGGAAACATGGCCTTTGCATGAACATACTGGTCCTCTCTATGTCAACGTCATCATAAATAGACGTATCCAGGATCTCTGCCTGGACTGTTTTCCATAGATACTCAGCAAACCCATGAGCTAGGTCGTTATTACCAAGGAGGAACAAAGAGACCCTCCCTTGTTCCTAGAACTTATCCTGACAAGAGGCCCTCTTGAGTGAAGACCAGAAAAAATGCCATGGCCCACATTCCACCCCTCTCTGTTGTTAGCAGCAGTGCCTGGTCCTTTAAGATGTCCCCCCATTCTTACAGCTTTGAACTTCAGGCTCCTAACCTGGGAATCCAGAGTTGTAGAGCTATTCTTTGCTTCTTGTAAAATGAATCTACTCTGTGGACTCAAAACACCTTCAGTCTTACTGTTCTTCCCAGTTTGCAAAGCTGTCCCACCCTTTATCACAATGGACTCTGGCAAGACTCTATAAGGGGGGCTGTTGTCAGTATCTCATTTTGCAGATGAAAAGAATGAGGCAGAGAGAGAGACAGAAGGGTCTATTACTCGACTTTGAATTTCTCACACAGCTGGCATTAAATTCCTCTTCTCAAGAAACTTACAAGTAGTTGTAGATTATTATCACCAGAGCTGTCAATATCTGTATCTGCAAGAAACTGCCAGAAAACAGCCAGTATACCTGTAAAGGGTTCAAGCTAAATAGAATTTATAAAGACACTATTACAGAGATATAGGCAGAGTTAGGGACTGGCACCCAGGAACTCACAATAGCAGGGAGCCGTTAGCACCTGCGATGGGCTGAATCATGTTCCTCCGAGACTCACAAGTTGAAGCCCTATCCCCCAGTACCTGATAATGTGACTGTATTTGGAGATAAGGTCTCCATATGATAATTAAATTAAAATGAGGTCATTAATGTGGGCCCTAATTCAGTATGACTGGTGTTCTTATAAGAAGAAGAAATGTGGACACAGATATGTAGAGAGGAAAGACTATGTGAGGACACAGAGAGAAGATAGAGGCCTCAGAAGAAACCAATCCTGTCAACATCTTGAGCTCAGATTTCCAGCCTCCAGGGCTGTGAGAAAATAAATTTCTATTGTTTATGCACCCAGCCTGTGATATTTTGTTATGGCAGCCCTAGTAAACGAACACATTCCCTTCTAATCTTGAAAGTCAGAGAGAGGAATTAATGGCTCACCCCTCTCCTCCCAGCCTCTGATCTCCTGCTAAGGCTTCCCATGGGCTGAACCCAACTGAAAACCAGATAAGGGTACAATTAGGATAGGATCACAGCAAGAGCTCTGGATAAGGGCTAAGCAGATTCTTTCATTCATTCAACAAATATTCATCAAATACCTGGTGCAATTGTACCAGGAGCTATTCTGGATGCTGTGGATATAAAGATAAATAAGATAGAGTCCCTTGTCTTCAATGGTCACAGTGTGACATAGAAGGAAGATTCTGCTATGTGTTCTA
Organism: Homo sapiens; assembly: GCF_000001405.40. Lineage (NCBI taxonomy): Eukaryota > Metazoa > Chordata > Mammalia > Primates > Hominidae > Homo > Homo sapiens. Next base: position 58,987,459 of record NC_000001.11, read on the forward strand.
CTATGTAAGTGCCCCACTGTACAATGTAGATTACATGCTGATAATTGCTGTTTGAGCATGATGCTATGACTGCAAAGAGGAGGGGTTACTCACTCAGTCAGGGTGGCAGGAAGACGGCCACAGAGGAAGTACACTCTAGTTGCCCCTTGAAGGATGTGCTAGATTTTACGGAGAGATGGAGGGGAAGGTCATGCTGGGTGGAAGGACATGCAAAGACCCAGGGATGTGTAAAGTGAGGAATCCCTTTGGAAAGAGAGGCTGAAAGATAGACGTAAACCCTATGTAGTTAAAATCACTTCCTAACTGTGCCACCTCACAATGCTATGCTGTCTGTGTTTGGGGCACTAATTTATACCTGTTGGCCACATGGTTCAGTGGCAAGAACAGGGTTCTAGAGCCTTGGGCTCAAAGTCCATTGCCAGCAACTGTTCACCATGTGTGGCTTAGGCAAGACACTCAACCTTTCTGAGCCTTTGTTTTCTCTCTGGTCAATTAATCAGCCAGCATTATTGTGTGTCTTCTCTGTTCCAAGCCTCAAAGCTATAGAGATGCTTGGTGCTGCCCTTGGGAACCTATAGTGGCGGAGGAGGCAGACTCTACACTGAGCCCCTCTGTGCATATGGAGTGGCTTCCAGGGCTGGGCTCAAAGTGCTCTGGGAACACACAGGTTAACGCACTTCCTCCATACTTCCCAGGGATTTGGAGGGAGTTTGGAGAAATAACAAAACAGGAAATGCTTGTAAGCTGCTTCTATTATTGGGTGGCAGTCATGGTTGCTGACATTTAGGTGAGGGTTGTTTCGTTTAGGCATTCTCATTGCACTCCTTCATCATCCCTGCCTTTGCACCTTGGCTCACACTATGTCCACTTTATACTTCTCTGACTGTGTAAATCCTATCCATCTTCATGGTCAAGGTCCAGACCCAACTTCTCCAGGAATCTTGTCCAGAGCATCGCAGGCCATAGAAATAACACCCTCCTCTTAACTCTGCTACATTTGCAGGCTCATTAGGCATTTATGCATTAGTAAAAGACAGTTTTGTGCCATTCCAAGAGTGGTCTAAAAACTATCTGGATCAGAGAATTCTGGAGCTGGATGAGACCTTAAAAGGCCATCATCAAGCCTCTAGTCTTATTCCAAGCTAGTACACATGGCAACTAGAGTGAGCATCCTATAATACAGATTGGAGCATATGTCTCTCCTACTTTAAACAAGGTGACTCTGCAATTGATTGCCCAAATGGGGATACTTTCGAGGGTGAAAGGCAATGCTGTTATTATAATGCTTGGACAACAGTCCTAAACTAGGATGACACCAAGGGCTAAACTAGGATAACACTAAAATTTGGGCACATAGTCCCTGTGTGACCTGCTGACCTCTCCTGTACTCCAGCCAACCTACAGTTTCCCAGCATCTGATGGACAACTACTAGTTAACCAAATGTTCCTTGCTTGTTCTGGCCACTGTGCCTGGGACATGCTGTTCCCTTTGCCTGAAATGCCATCCTCCTCACTCCATCCATTTCATCCTTAAGTCTCAGGCTAAGGGTTGCCTCCTATGTGAAGCCTTCTGACCCCTGGGCAGAGGCATCTGCTTCCAACATATTTTGTTAGGTCTCCTAGCATGTGGCATAGTTACCTATGAGCCAGTCAGCTGCCACCACTGGACTTGGAGCCCTCAGAGGCTGTGTCTCATTATGGTTGTCTCCCTCATCGCTTGTCCAGGGTCTACATCTGACCCACTGTAAACACTAAGTATTTTTTCATTAATAATAATGACAAATGAAATATGAGATTATGACACATGAGATAGTGCACCTTTGCATTTCTTGTTCTGGATTGTCACTTCTTTCTTTTCCTATTGAACTTCGGGTATGTAGGTCAGACACCCAGTGAGGGCAAACTTCTCAAGCATATCACATTGTGAAGACTAAGGCTTATTCCAGGGAAGCTGCTATGGCTCCAGCATTTCCTGGAGCTTCAGAACCCAAGGCATGTGTCTCCTAGAGGGGCAAATATTCACCTTGTAAGTCTACATACATTGTGTAAAACTAGTCAAAACTCTTTCAGAACCAGGTGAAGAGGATGAGTGATGGAAACAGGGACTGGCTCATAATGGGTGCTCTAGTCCATGTTTGTTAAATAAACCAGAGCAAGAAGACATGGAGGGAAGGAAAAAAGGAAGAAAAAACAAGATGAATTTTCTTATTTGGCTCTTAGACTAAACTTAAATGTCACTTTACAAAAAGGGAGTTGGCAGAGAAATAGAATCATAAGAGAAGGAAAAGGAACCAGCTTTTGTTGGGTGTTTATAATGTGTTTAATGGACCAGGCATTTTGTTTATGTGATCTTACTTTAATTTAAATGTGATACCACCCCACCAGAGCAGATATTATCATCTGAGTTCTACAGATGAGAAAATTTGAGCGCAGAGAAATTAAACAGTTTCCCAAGGCCTTATAGGTTTAAACTGTGGGTCTAATGAAATCAAAACTAGACTTAAACCCTTAAACCGGAGTCTCTGTGACTTCACCTCCCCTGATTTCTCCACATGAGTGAGATGTCTGGAGTCTCCCAAAGGGACTTCTTACAAGAGTCACACCCATTTGGATCCATGTATTCTGAGTGATTTTGTTTTTAGAAATCAGTCTCATTGCTTCATAATCACAGTTTATAGGTACCATGAGGACAAGTGCTGTGCTTTATTGATCCTAGTATCCCAAGACACTATCACAGTGCCTTTCCCCACCAGGAATGCTCAGACCATATTTACTGAAGGCCTTAAGTCAGATTCTCTGGCTTTATATAGTTGATCCACCCCAACATGCTCAATTCTCTGAGTCTTCTGATTTCTTCCTCCCTTCTCGCCCCTGGCTTGTCTACTTCAGTTAGTGTGGGCCCCTAGCATGGCCTCCTGAAAGATCCCCACACCCAATCTAGTGGCATATTGAGACTGTCTCTCAGGGTCCTTACCATATGTTAAATCCTGTGTAACACTACTGAGTGCTCCCATATCAATAAATTCTCCATTATTCGACTGTCTATACCATCACCACCACCCCCTGCCCCCGCCCCTGCCCACCACCCCCATGTCACCCATCTTGGATCCTCAGGATCCAGTTCTAGACACACACTCCTGGCTCCTGCTGGTGTAGGTTGGCTAGGCCCTACAGCTCCTTCAGGGTCTAGTCCCTTTCCTGGAAGCCCAGCAAGTCCCTGGCAGAATTATGTTGTGACTCGATCCTCATTTCTGGTCTGTTGGCCTGGAAGGGGAGCAGAAGGGTTCTACCTTGCCAGGCAGAGTCCTCTCTGTCATCTTCAAGCAAGGAGGAAGAGTTAGCCCATAATTGGGAAGACTGAGCCACTTCTGCAGCCCAGGAGGTACAAGCAGAGCTGGAATGTCAACATTCTCAGGTTCTCAAGGGCTTCAACCCAGATATTCTTAGCCCACATCTAAGGGTCCCACACCTCCTGACCAGGGCCCTGGCCTTCGTCTGTCAGGATGGTAAATTAGACTTTCATTGAAACTCTGCTACCCTTGTAATTAAGTCATGGCCTGATTCTCAGCTTCTCCTGCCCTCCAACTGCAGGAGATAAGAAAATGCTGTCAAGGAGGCCCTCTGACTTTCACACTTTGTCTTAAATTAGTGAATAATCACTTCAAGCCTGCACGACTTTCTCCAATACACTGATAGCACTCAGCAGCAGCATCTCATTCCACCGTCTTAATAATTGTGCTTTCCTCCATAGCTCTTGAATATCTGATATATTACACCTGTGGGTGCCTTTCCTTTCACTATAACCCCATCTCAGCTCCCTAAAAGTGAAAATTCTCCCATTTGTCAGGCTATAGCATGCCAGGTTCTATCAGTACTCTCCCTGCTCCAGAGATGGGATTTTAGTTGCCAGCCAGACAGCAGGTGATTCAGCTCCAAAATCCCAGTGTAGAGCCACTCTTGGTACCAACTGTCTTAGGATGAGGTTCAGTGCCTTGGGAAACAGACTCTAAGGCAGATATTTGCATGCAGGAAGTTTACTGGTGAGTGCTTCCGGAAACACCAGCCATGAGGGAGTAAGCAAAGTAGGATTAGGTGGAGGGAGAAGTTGAGCTGGGATGCAGCAGTCAGAGGCTCTGCAGTTTGGATGGTGCTTCTGAATTGTCACAAATTGAGGCCAGGGGACCAGGTTCTTGTACCTTTGACATCAATCCATGATGGATATGGACTGCCAATAGAAACCAGGCATAGCTTTGCTTGGGGGAGTACCATTCAACCAAGAGTAAATCTTGAACAAGAAGAACTGTGAGCTGTCAGTTACCAACACTATTGGCAATTAGGGGAATGATCTTAGTTGGGCATCTGGGCAGTACTCTACAGCATTCTCTACACTGGATGAATAGATGGATGAATGAATGAATAATGAATGAATGAATGTTCTGCTTGTCTTCCTAACTACTTTGGAAATCCTGAGAAAAGGACTTTGATATTCTGTGGTCTTTTTAGACCCAGCAGTGCTGGTTGCCCAGTTATTATAATTGCTTTAGCCTTAGAAAGAACCTTTGAAAATGCCGCTGTAATTCAATTTACTTATTTTCCAGATTAAAAAAAAATCAAGGTCTAAAATGATTAAATAATTTGCCTAAAGCTCCACAGTAAGTTTGTGATTCAGCCTAGACTTCATAAGTATTTTATCAGCCTCAGAAACAGAGGTTTAAGCACATGAGGATTTCCTCTATTGTACAAAAGAAGTCCGAAGTCCCAGCGTTGGTTGAAGGCTCTATGGTTATCAGGGACACCCCCATTCTATCACATGGCTTCCATCCTCAAAGTCACCTCAAGGTCCAACATGGCTTCAGAGATCCATGAAACACGTCTGGTTTTAGCTTGGCAGCAGGAGAAATCAGGAGAAAGCAAAAGGACACTTTACTATTCCTTTCAAGGAGCCTTCCCTGAAGCCCCACTAGCCCCTTCTGACTACACCACCCTTGAGCAGAACTTTGTCCTGTGACTTCTCCACCTGTAAGGAGAGCTAGGAAATGTAGCTTTATTCTAGATGACAATTTGCCCAGTAAAGAATAGGAGTTCCATATTGCAACACAAAGGGGAAAACAAGTATTTGGTAGGTAATTTACAATCTCTAACATATTGGTTATTGGGCTGTTACAGAAAAGCATACATTTCGGAATCATACCTAGATCGGTCTCCTCCTACATGTAAGACTAGCTTAAAGTTATTTAACCTCTAGACTTTTAGTTTCTACATGTGTGAAACAGACAACAATCCTTATCCTCACAGATGTATTGTGCACTAATGTGTGGAAAGCACCTAGCACAGTGTCAAGTATTTGGATTGGTAGAATGTCTATCCCTCCTACTCCCACATTATTGAATAACTTGGTTAAAACTTAATGGCATTACACCCCATTGTCCTGTTCAAATAAACCTGAGGAACAGTTACTATTTTGTTCTTGGAGCATAGTGTGATTGAGACACATGTCCAAGCTTTCCACCCATTTGCTGGGTGTAGTTTAAGGGGGAAGAATAGAAAAGTCTGTTTCGATACTTTCCACTGACTTTTCCTTGCATTCAGGTGGAGGCAGACAGACATAAAACAAAAACCATTCCCAGAGAATTTTTGAAATAAAAGCCTTTCTTCTCTATTTTATCCCATTCAGGAGACCAGATCTGAGTTCACTTGCTGGGCAGATCCTCCCCATGCAACACAGCCACTGCCTCCTCTACGCAGACCTCCCTGCTCCTTTGGGTGGCTCAGCCCCTCAGAGAGTTTATAGTTACATTACTGAGTTAGACCCTGTGCAAGAAGCTGGGGATATAGACATGTGGAAGTAAAGGTTTCTGCTTTTGAACAACCCCAGTCTAGTGAGAGAGACCAATATGTGAAGAGATAATATCACTTACTTTAATTGGATGCTCTATAAAAGGACATAGGGGGTACAGAGAAGCTCCTAACCCAACTTGGAGCAGGAAGTTCATTGAGGACTTCTCAGAGGTGGTTATGTTTAAGCTGCATCTTAAAGGATGAAGAAGAGGGCAAAGCAGGGAGAGAGTATCCAAGGAGAGAGAACAGCAAGGACAAAAGTTTGGTAGAATGACACAGGAGTGTGTTAGAAACTGCAAATTGTTTCGTAATAGTTAGATTATAAATGAGGACATAGGGAGACTTCATTATTGGAAGGGTCATTGGGTCTGACATTTGAAGTACCAATGCTTTGCCCCCAAGCCACCTCTCTTCATGAACTCTGGAAAGCAGTGACCTCCGACATCAGTGTCGGTATTCAAGCAGTGGCAAATGGCAGGGGATACAGCATAGTAAAGCTGCTCTAATCATTCTGTAATTGATCGTTGCTAGAGTCACTTTTAGTTTTAGGATTCTGTGATTCAGGATGCTACCAGAGCACTTTTTTATAGATGTGTCATCTGAAAACATCTGGCCTTGAGTTTCTTTGTGTTCTCTTGGCAGTTCCTAATTTTCTTTAAATAGAAAATACACAAGAAAATAGATGAGCAATTTTGAACACCTACATTGTAATAAACAGCTACTTTCACATGCCAGCTTCTGTAAGCCTCACAGGTAATTGTGATAAAAATGACTAGCCTACATCTTAACAGATAATGAAACTGGCCCAGAGAGGTTAAGTGACATGCCTAATGTTACACAGCTGGTGAGTAATGGCACGGGGAGTTAAACCTAAGAGCACCTGACTCCAAGTCTCTGCAAACTTAAGATGCACCATCTTGGCTGGGCGCGGTGGCTCACGCCTGTAATCCCAGCACTTTGGGAGGGCAAGGAGGGCAGGTCACGAGGTCAGGAGATGGAGACCATCCTGGCTAACATGGTGAAATCCCGTCTCTACTAAAAATACAAAAAAAAAAAAAAAAACATTAGCCGGGCATGGTGGCAGGTGCCTGTAGTCCCAGCTACATGGGAGGCTGAGGCAGGAGAATGGCGTGAACCCGGGAGGTGGAGCTTGCAGTGAGCCGAGATGGCACCACTGCACTCCAGCCTGGGTGACAGAGCGAGACTCTGTCTCAAAAAAAAAAAAAAAAGGCACCATCTTAAATGTCCATCCTGGATAAGACGGAACTTCGTTTTACTCCTCTCCTTCCCTCCTTTCTTCAGTTTTAAATCATTGCTCTTTGGGAAATTTTTCCTGCACTCTCACCTTGAAATTGAGACAGTAACTGAGAATTCCAAAAGAGACAGCCTGAACATGCTGAGGTTCAGTTTTCCCTAGGAGACTGGGGATTTATTTCATAATTCACTCTTTTGTTAGCAAATTCTTGCCACAGATGGTTTTTAATGTCTCAGTATCATAGAAGGTTGGACTTCAGTCTACTGTAAACCAACCCTCATTTTTGTACATGTGAGGACATCAAGGCTCAAAGTGGAGCAGAGGGTTACACATGGTCACTCAGAGAGTGAGCAGAATTTAATGTAATTTCGTGAGAATATTGCTTTTGGATTTATTGTCTCCCTTTTTCTAGTGGATTTTTGGCTCCAGGAAAAGATGCAATAAGCGAGGCATGAGCCTAGACATGCAGACTTTTGGCAGGAGTTGTTGTGCTAGTTCAGAAACTGGTATAAAAACTTTAAAGGGGGTGGGAGAAGATCATCAGGTTTCTGCTGACTTGGGATCATCAGAAAGTCAACTCTTCTCAGCATGAAGCACTGTACCGAAGGAATGTGTAGGACCATGTGGGTATTGCAGAGAATTTTATGTCTCCAGGAGGAAAAGAAGCTTACAGACCATTAAGTACAATTTTCCAATTTTGCAAATGAGCAAACTGAGGCTCAGAGAGGTGAGGTGACTTTTACATAGTCATAAAGCTAGGGAGAGGCAGAGCCAGGATTCAAATCCAGTCCTTATGAGCCAGAAAGGCTCTGCATCAGTCACTAGAGCACCAAACACTTGGGTTCAGTCTCTGGTTCTGCTGCTTTCAAGCTTTGTGTCTTTAGTAAGTTGCTTAACATCTCTGAACATTAGCCACCTTGTCAATAAAATGAGGTCAGTGGTCTATACTCAGAGTGTTGCTGTGAGAATTAAATATTACTATTACATAGGTGGAAGTGTCTGGTACATAGTAGCTATTCATTCTGTGCCAGAGCCGCCCACCCCACCCTGAAGCCTTGGAAATATTTCTTTGAGGCAAGGGAGACAGTGAGTTGTCACCGGTTATTTTAAATATAAAGGTGTCAGTTAGGAAGTCAGTGTGTGAAAATGCCTGGTGTTCTGAAGAAGAAAGAAGCAGCACAGTGTTTCTGGAGCATAGGTGTGAGCAGGAGTCCGTGGGGCTGGAGGAACCAGCAATGGGCAGAGCCTGGTGGAGTGTTTTGTTGTTGTTTGCCATGTGAAGTAGCTTACACTTGGTCCTCTATGTGAAGGAAAACACAAAAGGTCTTAACCCAGAAGAATACCTGGATTTGCATGTTTTAAAGGGCCCCATAAAGACTGTGTGTCTAGGTGAGAGCGGATATCAGGGAGCTATTAAGAAACTATTGTAATTGTCCAGGAGAGAGGCAGTAGGGCCTAAACTGGGGCAGAAGAAGTTAATGTGGCCTAGATGGCAGAGACAGGGTTTGGAAATCTAGATCAATAGGGTTTGGAAACTAACTTAATGTAGAGGGTAAGAAAGAAGAAAGTATTTACAATGATTCCCTCTTCTGGCATTAAAACATAAAAACTTCCACAGACCAAAGTTACGATAAACAAAGTGAGAAAGGCAAGAGACAAATGGGGAAAAGTATTTGCTACGTATATGAAAGATAATAGACTATATACAAGTATTAACTAAGAATATCAATAAGAAAAAGATTTTTAAAAGTCTAACAGAAAAGAACTGATATAAACAAATAAATCCAGAAGAAGAAATATAAATGGGCAGTAAACTTTGGAAAAGAAGCCCAATATCACTAGTAATCAGAAAAATAAAACACTGAGGTATCACTTCATACATATTGTCACATACTGAAAAATCTAATGATACCAACAGTTGATGAGCACAGGAAACAGTGAAAAGACTCAGACATTGCTGGTGTAAGTCTAAATTGTTACATCATCACTTTGGAGAACATTTGGGCATTATTCAGTAAATTTGATGATAGGTATACTCTGTATCTCAGCAATTTCACATTTAAGTATATATTGTGGATAAGCTCTGCATATATTCACAGAGAATACGCAGACAAAACCCAAGAGCGTATCAATGGAGAAATGCATTGTAGTATATTCATCTCATGTAAGACTTATAACAGTTAAAAATAACTGAGCTGGGACATTCTGGTTTTAGCTAGTGAGCACACTCTAATCTGTCTCTCTTACTACTGACAACTAAAAAGCCTGGAGAGAATACATAAGGATTTATCTGAGGACTCTGACAAGTAAACAATAACAGGTGGGTTGGGAAGGGAAATAAAAACTGAAAGCACAACTGATACAGGGGTGTAATTAGTCAGCATTCTCAAGAGAAAACCAATAGGATGCATATATATATATTTTTTTCTTTATGTGTGTGTGTGTATATATATATATATATACACACACACACATAAAGATATATGTACATATATACACACATACAGATGTATCTATAGATATATATCTGTCTATAGATATAGATAGATATATATCTATATATCAAGAGAGATTTATTGTAAGAAATTGGATCATGTGATTATAGAAGCTGAAAGGCCTCAAGATCTTCAGTCAGTGAACTGGAGGCCTAGGACAGATGGTGGTATAGTTCCATTCTGAATCTGAAGGTCTGAGAACCAGGAGAGCCACTGGTGTAGAACCAGTCCACAAGCTGGTAGCCTCAAGACCTAGGAAGAGCTGATGCTTCAAGTTTGAAGGAAGGAAAAAAACAATGTCCCAGCTCGAAGTCAGTCAGGCAGGATGAGCTCCCTCTTATTCATGGGAAGGTCAGTCTTTTTGTTCTATTCAGGCCTTCAACTGATTGGATGATACCCATACACACTGGGGAGGGCCATCTGCTTACTCAGTCTGTCAATCTAAATATTAATCTCATTCACAAAAAACCTTGTAGACACACCCAAAATAATGTTTGATCAAATGTTTGGGTACCCCAATGCCCAGTCAAGTTGATACATAAAATCAACCATCACTAGGGGGTTAAGTGTCCTGAGGTTTTCTCCCCCTGCTATATCTCCTAGCTGAAACCCTAGGGCAGCCTGGATCTCTGAAGTGTGCAGTAAACATGGACAGAAAAACATCAAGATGAACTCTCTCTTTCTGGCTGGAAGACTGGGAGGGCGGGCCCTTCAGGACAAAGACTGTAGGGGTACTCTCATTTCATTTTACTTTTTTTATTCTCCTAGCTTGGTGCCAAAGCCAGACTTAGTCATGAACTATACTCCTGCAGCAGTGGTGGCAACAGTGGTTCTTAGGCAATAAAAAGTGTAAGAGAAAATTCTTCCCTCTGACCAAAGGAACTGGGAAAATAGACCCCTGCAGTCTAAAGACTGTGAAGCAGTCTCCATTATTTTGTTCCTCCTTTTTCTAACTGCTTCATTCTCAAAGTGGACACAGTTGTGAAAAATGTCTGACAGCACAGGAGGCTAAAACCCTGGCTTTCTCTCCAGCACAACAGGAAAATGTGACCCTGCATATGGAAGAGTGGGGAAATCATAGAGAAGAGGGAGATGGAAAAAGAGATCTCTTAAATCTGGGTATGAAATCCTGGGCTCACTCGCAGGATTCACGTACAAGGAACTGACCCAAAACAGTATAATGAAGGCTTTGAGTCTGAACTACAATGTGGGCCGTTTCCTAGGCCCCAGACCAGCCCCTGGATAGTGTCCACATGGGGCAGACCCTAATAGCACTGCAAAGGCTTTGAAAATGAAGCTAGCATTAGAACCTCATCCCACAAAAAGTAAGTTGGGAGTTGGGGTATGAGCCTAACTCTTTTAATTGCTTTAGAAAAAAATCAACATTCTTCAGAGAATTTTTTTTTTTTTTGAGACAGAGTCTCAGTGCAACACCCACACTGGAGTGCAATGGAATGATCACAGCTCACTCCAGCCTCAACTTTCCTAGGCTCAGGTACTTCTCTCATCTCAGCCTCCCAAGTAGCTGGGACAGCAGGTGCACACCACCATGCTTGATTAATTTTTTGTATTTTTTGTAAAGACAGGGTTTTGCCATGTTTCCCAGGCTAGACTCAAACTCCTGGGCTCAAGTGACCTACCCATCTTGGCCTCCCAAAGTGCTGAGATTACAGGCAAACCACCACACCCAGCCTCTTCAAAGAATCTTAACAGGACCTAGAGAATTATACATAATTCAAATGTCTAAGATACAATTCAAAATTAATCAATACACAAATAACAAAAAAAAAAAAACAAGAAAATCTCACCAACTCTCAAAGAAAAAAGACAATCAACCAATCAACACACACCAACACCAAATTGACCAAGGTACCGATGGTGGAATAAACAAAGACTCTAAGAAACTGTTATACACACACACATACACACCTCCTCCACACACACACAAATATAATTAAGCTCCATGAAGTGGGAGAGAGCATTAGTGAATAGTGAAACAAATGAAAAGATGGACACTTTCAGCAAAGAGAAGCTATTGAAAAAAAATGAAAATTTTATAATGAAAAATACAATGATAGAAATAAAATAATTCGCTGAAGGAGATCAGTAACATAATGGAGATAGAGTCAGTGAACTTGAAGATGAGGAATTAGGCTGGCCATCTTTTCCTGTAAAGGAACAGATAGTAAATATTTTAGAATTGAATGACCATAAACTATGTCATAACTCCTCAGCTCTACAATTATAGCATGAAAACAGCCATAGATCATATGTAAATTAATGGAAATAGCTGTTTCAATAAATCTTTATTTAATGAACAGGCAAGCTAGATTTGTCCTGTGAACCATGGTTTTCTGACCACTGAGATAGATCAATAGAAGCTATCTAATCTGAAAAATACAGAAAAGTAACTGAAAAACAATAAGCAGTCTCAGGGACAAGTGGCCTGATATCACAAGATGTAACATTCATGTCATCAGAGTGAAATGACAGAATGATAGAAAAGAGAAGAAAGAGATTAGTATTAGAAAAATATTTGAAGAAATCACGGCTAAAACTTCTCAGATTCGGGGGAATTCATGTGGAGGTCAAAGTGGAAACAGGTGTGAGAGGTCCAGCAGAAGAAAACATGGCTGCCAAAGTGTTTGAGTCCATAGGCAAGTTTGGCCTGGTCTAAGCTGTTGCAGGAGGCGTGGTGAACTCTGCCTTATATAATGTGGATGCTGGGCACAGAGCTGTCATCCTTGACCGATTCCGTGGAGTACAGGAAATTGTGGTAGGGGAAGGGACTCACTTTCTCATCCTCTGGGTACAGAAACCAGTTATCTTTGACTGCCATTCTTGACCACGTAATGTGTCAGTCATCACTGGTAGCAAAGATTTACAGAATGTCAACATCACACTGCACATCCCCTTCCAGCCCGTCGCTAGCCAGCTTCCTCGCATCTTCACCAGCATCGGAGAGGACTATGATGAGCCTGTGCTGCCATCCATCACAACTGAGATGCTCAAGTCAGTGGTGGTTTGCTTTGATGCTGGAGAACTAATCACCCAGAGAGAGCTGGTCTCCAGGCAGGTGAGCGACAACCTTACGGAGTGAGCAGCCACCTTTAGGCTCATCCTGGACGACGTGTCCTTGACATATCTGACCTTCAGGAAGGACTTCACAGAAGCAGTGGGAGCCAAACAGGTGGCTCAGCAGGAAGCAGAAAGGGCCAGATTTGTGATGGAAAAGGCTAAGCAGCAGAAAAAGGCAGCTATCATCTCTGCTGAGGGTGACTCCAAGGCAGCTGAGCTGATTGCCAACTCACTGGCCACTGCAGGGGACGGCCTGATCGAGCTGCGCAAGCTGTAAGCTGCGGAGGACATCGCCTACCAGCTCTCACGCTCTCAGAACATCACCTACCTGCCAGCGGGGCAGTCCGTGCTCCTCCAGCTGCCCCAGTGAGGGCCCACCTTGCCTGCACCTCCACAGGCTGACTGGACCACAGCCCTGATGATATTTAACATCGACTTCCTTCTGCCCCCACCCCAGAAATCACTGTGAAATTTCATGATTGGCTTAAAGTGACGGAATTAAAGGTAAAATCACTTCAGATCTCAAAAAAAAGAAAAATTCTCAGATTTGATGAAAGTCATAGATTTACAGCTTTAAAAAGCTCAAGAAACCCCAAACAAGATAAATTCAAAGTAAAATACACCAAGACACATGATGAAACTGAATACAATGAAAAACATCTTGAAAGAAACCAGAAAACATTGGGGAACAATGATCGCATATTTCTCATCAGAAACCGTGGAGACCAGAAAACAGTGAAACAACATTTTTAAAGGCCTATGAGAAAAGAGCTGCAAACCCAGAATTCTATATCTAGTGAAAATATCCTTCAGGAGCGAAGACAAAATTAAGATATTCTCAGATAAAGGAAAATCAGCAAAATGTGTTACTAGTAGACCTGCTCTAAAATAAATGCTAAAGGAAGTTCTTCAGGTGGAGAGGGAATGATAAAACAACAAAAATACTTGGACTTTAGGAATGAAGAAAGCATAAGATAAAAAGAGAAAAGATATAATTTACCAATATCTGGAACAAAAAAGAGGCTATCACCGCAGAACTCACAGATTTTAAAGGATAATTGATATACTATAAATAACTCATAAATTTGACAGCTTAGATAAAATGGTCCATTTTCGTAAAATACACAAACTACCAAAACTCACTAGTGAAGAAATATATGACCTACGTAGTCCTATATTTACTAAAGAAATTGAGATTATAGTTAAAGACCTTCCAATGAAGGAAAGTTTGGGTCCAAGTGGTTTTACTGGTGAATTGCACCAAACATTAAAAAAAAGTTAATTGTATATAAGCTTTCAAAAAATAGGGAAAAGGAACATTCTCAACTCCTTTTAAGTGGCCAGCATTATCCTGATATCCAAACCAGACACAGCACAATAATATAAAATAAAATTAAACAAAATATTAGCAAATCAAATCCAGTAGCATATGAAAAGGATAATAGCTCACAACCAAGTGGGATTAATATGAAGAATGCAAGGTGATTCATCATCGAAAAAAATCAAAGACTGTAATCCACCCTATTAACAGACTAAAGAAAAACTACATGATAATAGATGCAGAAAAAGCAATATCTATCTATGGCAGACTCAGCAAACTAGGAATAGTAGGGATCTTCCTTAACATGGTAAATGGCAACTACAAAAATAGAGTACATAATTCTACATGAATAAATCCCAAAGATAAAATGTTGACCAAGAAAGAAAATTGCTGGATATTTATAGTATGATATCATTTATATAAAGTTTTGCTATATGCAAAATTATTACAATTGCTTATGGATAAAGTATAAATGTTTGCAAGGGAATAGCAAATATTAAAATCAGATAGTGGCCACATCTGGGGAGTGACAGAAGGGAATAGGATTGGAGATTGACACACAAGGAGCCGCAGCTTTACTGTAATGTTCGAACTCTTCTTAAAAAATCTGAATCAAATATGACAAAATGATAAGATTTGAAGAGCAAAATGAAAGAGACATGACCATTCATTACATTGTCTGTATTTTCCTGTATAGTGAATATTTTATAGTTTTTTATTTTATTTTATTTATTTATTTTTGAGAAGGAGTCTGGCTCTGTCACCCAGGCTGGAGTGCAGTGGTGCAATCTCGGCTCATTGCAACCCTCTGCCTCCTGGGTTCAATGATTCTCCTGCCTCAGACTCCACAGTAGCTGGGATTACAGGCATGCACCACCACGCCCGGCTAATTTTTGTATTTTTAGTAGAGACAAGGTTTCGCCATGTTGGCCAGGCTGGTCTCGAACTCCTGACCTCAGGTGATCTGCCCGCCTCAGCCCCCCAAAATGCTAGGATTGCAGGCATGAGCCACTGTGCCCAGCAAGTTTTTTAACTATGTAAGCACTATATATTTAAAATATATAAACACTGATAAAAGCGTCCTCAGGATCTTACGGAAGCACAAAGCGTAGGGGAGGAGGAAAGAATAGGTCTTCGAGGGCTTCCCGCAGGTGATGCTAGTAATTCTTAAACAGTTACCACATGCCAGGTAATGCTCTAACTTCTAGAAGTAGTAGCTTACTTATTTTACACAACAACCCTATGAAGCTTGCACACCTATCCTCAGTTAGAGATAAATTGAAACCCAGAGAGGTTAAATAACTTGCTCCAAGTCAGAAAGCTAGAAAATAAGAGTTGGGATGAAAACCAGGCAGCCTAGACCCAAATCCTGAACTGGTCAACCACACGAACAATCCACTGCAATGCTTTACTTTAGAGCAATTACTCTGCTTGCTGTGTGGACAACAGTGTAGACTCAGGCAAGGCTGAAGGCAGGGCGATAGTGGGCCCTTTTTGCTTATTGATTTCCTTACTAAATTATTTATTTATTTATTTATTTTGAGACGGAATCTTGACCCGTTGCCCAGGCTGGAGTGCAATGGCAGGATCTTGGCTCACTGCAACCTCTGCCTCCCGGGTTCAAGTGATTCTCCTACCTCAGTCTCCCAAGTAGCTGGGATTACAGGCCTGCGCCACCATGTCCTGCTAATTTTTGTATTTTTAGTAGAGGAGGGCTTTCGCCATGTTGGTCAGGCTGGTCTCGAATGTCTGACCTCAGGTGATCCACCCCCTCGGCCTACTACAGTGCTGATATTATAGACGTGAGCCACCGCACCCAGCCTCCCTACTGGAATCTTATATATTCTTAATGCAAACCTTTGTGTATTTTATATATTTAGCAACTACTTTCCCATTCATGCCTCATCTTTTCTCTTTGTTTGTGGTGGCTTTTGTATATAGAAGTTTTTACTTCCCTCTGGAAAATGGAACCTGATTCAGGGGTGAAAGAGAGGAAAATTCAAGAGAGGTTATAAAAGTGGAGGAAATGGTGAGGTTTGGTGAACATTCCGACCTCCTTGTTTGCAAAGCAGGCTGGCTAAGCAGCGAGAACACTTAATTCTCTCTGCCGTGTCCATGACTAAATTTGTCTTCTGTAGTTTTTGAAGGCAGCCTCACGTTTGGCTTTGCATTTCCCATGACACCTACACAGCACCTGAGGGCCTGGGAGGCTGGTTTACTCCACACCTAGAAGCCAAGGACTGGCCATAGTTTGAGACATGATCCTCACTACCGGGGCAGGGAAATGAGGAAAATACTGGCAATGGAGTGGGGTTCTTATAAAGCTCAGTTTATTCAGTTGAATAAACTTTCTTTTATCATGCATGTGTGTGTGTGTGTGTTTTTCCAAAGGGTATGTGGTTAAAATTTCTTTTTATGCAGGGATAGTGGCATTAGATCATAAATTAATTGATTTCCAATGTTCTCATTTTGCCAAATAAAAAGTTGGCAACACTCTATCGATGCCTCGAAATTATTTTTATATTTTTCTGCTCAGTTAAATTAAAAAAAATATTTGAGAACAACTGTCATAGACAAAAGAGCTTTTAAGTCTCAAAAACATGTGTTTTCAGTTGGGTCACATATATTAGTTCTATGACCAGAATGCAAGTTACTGAACTTTGGAGAATATTGGTTTCTTCACTAAAATGGGATAATTACACCCACCTTAGGGAGATTGTAAGGATCAAATGAGAGAATATCAGTAAGGGGCTCAGTTTCACATATGGTTCACTTCTGGTTTATTTTTCTGCCCTCTCCCTTCCTGGCAGGCAGGGACTAGATTTTACTTGCATGCTCTGACAATCATTCAGTTTAGACCTGGATCATAGTAGGTGCTCAAAAAATAGTCTGTTAAAAACCACCATGAGATGCCATGTCACAGTCATTAGAATAGAATAACTACCATCAAAAAGAACAATAACAGAAAATAACAAGTGTTAATGAAGATGTAGAGAAATTGGAATTCTTGTGCCTTACTGGTGGAAATGTGACATGGTGCAATTACAGAACAAAACAGTATGGTAGTTTATCAAAAAATATTGGATTACCATATGATTCAACAATACTACTTCTGGGTGTATACCCCAAAGAAATGAGAGTAGGGACTTGAACAGATATTTGTACACCCACATTCATAGAAGTATTATTTATAATGGAAAAAAGGTGGAAGCTACTCAAGTGTCCATTAACAGATGAATGGATAAACAAAATGTGGCCTATACATACAATGAAATATTATTCAGCCTTAAAAACGAAGGAAATTCTGAGATATGTCACCGCATGGATGAACCTTGAGGACATCATATTAAGTAAAATAAGCCAGTTACAAAGGGGGCAAATACTGTATAATTCCACTCCTATGAGGAGCCTAGAGTAGTCAAGTTCATAGAAACAGGAAGCAGAATGGTGGTTGTGAGGAGCTGGGGAAAAGGAGAAATGGAGAGTTATTGTTTAATGAGTATGGAGTTTCAGTTTTGGAAGATGAAGAATGTTCTGGGGATGGATGGTGATGATGGTTGCACAACAGTGTGAATGAACTTAACTCCACTGAATTGCACACCTAAATATGGTTAACATAGTAAGTTTTATGTCCATTTTTCAACAATTAAAAGTAAAAATTTAAAATTTAACAAAAACGTTTAATTGTCTGTTAAATAAAAGAGCTAATGAATGAATGAGGAGAAGGATAGAGCCAAGAGGATGCCTAAGGCAAGAAACTTCCAAGCAAGGAAATAGCAAGTGTGTTTGCTCAGCCAAAACCAGCTAAGGGGTTTGCTCACCTGCTGTAGGTAAGAGAGGGGGATGGCAGAGGAAATGAGGGCTGAGGTGTTGCCAGGGGGCAGATCATGCAGGGCTGTACAGGATTTTGCCTTTTATCTTAACTGAATATGATGGGATGTGATGGGAGGAAACAGGTAAGAGAGTAAATGAGTCAATGGAAGTGAGGAAGGAGTACTAGAAGTCCAGAAGTGTGTCCAGATGCTGAGGGCCTAGAGCAGAGGTTCTGTGTCCTCCACTCCCCAAGCACACACCTGCTCTCAGGACTGAGTTGACCCCTGGAACATCCCAGAACCCTGGATTATCTGATCAGACCCCTCCACCCTGGCATGTCCTAAGGATGATTTTGCCTGAACAGGGGAACATGTGTGTCTTCCCCAGTGATGGCTGGGGCTCTGGCACAAATGCAGATCATTACTCTTGGTTTCTAATGTGGGAGGAGGAAGTGTGAAGGGTGGAGGAGGTGTTTCTTTTATCACACAATTAGATTAGAAACTGGCTGGCTGCTCAGGGCAGGGTTCCACCCAAACTAGGCCTACAGGAGAGTTGTCCTGCTGGGTGGCCCCATCTCAGTCTTCAGGGGCTTAATGTTTTTAGACCTGACTTCTTCACTGTTCAAATTCTTGAGAAAAGGCATATAGTGTGGTTCACATGAAAACTCAAACCAGATTCCAAAAACTCACTTTGAGTCCTCATATCATTCATGTATTCATTTATTAATTCATTCACTCATTCAACATTTACTGAGCACCTACTATGTGTCAAACACTATGCCAGGCATTGGGAATACACACATAGACTCTAACCTTGAGTTGCTCACAGAATCAATGGTGGAATAAAATAAACCTTGAATTATACTACAGTGAGTTAAGTACTATGACAAAACGGTAATAAAAAAATAAAACTAAGTTAGCCAATATTTATTCTTACTACATACTTACTATATGCCAGGCATTGCTTTAATTGATTTGTATATATGGACTTATTTTTTCCCTAGGCAAACCCTATGTGGTGGGCACTATTATCAGCCCACTTTATAGATGACGATAATGACTCACCAAGAGTATTAAGTGGCAAGCACACAATGCAGCTAGAAACTAGGGCAACCAGGAATAGCCCTGCTTATAACTCTCTGCTGCTTCTAGAGGTATGGGAACACAGAGAAGGACTGGCTAGGTATGTTTCACAGAGAAGGTGATGACTGGACTGATTGTTGCAGGATGAGAAGTTGGCCAATCAGAGGAAGATGGGGGCAGAGGATTGGTGAGGATTTTCACCCGTCGAAAGTTTCAAACAGAACTGTAAGTGGAAAGCAGGGAAGCATGACAGGGCATGTGCATTCCAGAGAATGTAAGAAGGGGAGAAGCAGGAGATGAGCTGGGAGAGAGGGCCTGGGCCGGGATGCCTGGTGAGAAGGGAGCTCATTTCTTTAGGCACTAGAGTCCAATGTGCTTTTTTACACCTGAAGTGATGTGATCACAGTCAGCACTTTAGGATTTTTGCAGGAGATTTATTCATGGTTTGGGTGGACTAATACTAGCCAATATGTGAATCACAATAAATTCTCTCTGACCTGGTGATTCTCCATTTGTACCCCCTTCCCAACCAGATCTGTTCTCTGGTCTGCACTGTGCCATCTGCACTGTGCCATAGAGAGGTTAATGCCCCTGATTGCCTCGGGGGACTCCTTTGCCTCCTATCTTCCAGTTGGGTTTAGCCAGTGGTAGGCATCGGCAAGAGATTAAAGGGTGGGAGGAGAAAGAGGTTGGGAATTTCCTCCAGCTCTTTCCCTGCTTCTGTGCCAGGGTCTGCCAGTGGCCGGGTTCCTCTGCAACCGTAGTTCCTGCCAGCAGCCCCTCCTCCATGGCTTCAGCAACATCTCACCCTCTTCCTGTCCTTGCAGATTCAGGGTAGCAATGGTTCCCTGGTGTTGCAAGTCTCTGAGTGCTTCAGCATCTCTCATTGGTTTCCTTAGCTCTGTCCCTATCCCTATAAATTGTTGTCCCTTCATCAAATCCCACTTCCAAGTCCGCGCTGCATGAGCCTTCTTTTTCTTGATCATAACTAGTCATGCTGAGAACTTACCCGATACCAATTACCATTTATTGAGTACCTACTGTGTACTTGGGGCTTCAAATGCATTTTTTTTTCCATTTAATTTTCACCACAGCTCCATGAGTTATGGACCATTTATATCCATTTCAGGAATCCCAAAAACAAGGCAGGCATACATTTAACATAGATGTTAAGTAACTTGCCCAAAATTATATAAGCCTTTTGTCCAGAGTTACACAGTTAGTCAGGAGCAAAGTTAAAATTCACACCCAGGTCTCTGGACTCTAAAACTCATCCTCTTTCTGTTGCTCTGCGGTCACTGAGTCAATTCTTATAAATGCTTAATTTGTCAGACTCTGGAAAACCAGTAACGGTAGCAGTAGTAAAATCTCTAGAGGAAGAGGGGATAGGGTATTCCGTGGAGGCTATAGGTCTTCTTGAGGAATGGTGGATCTTTAAGTAAAAGTTCCAGAACTTTGCCATTCCTGCATTGGTGGAAAACGCAATGGCAGGTGATTCACCAAAATATCCCTTGCTTCACAATGTGCAGTTCCTCTGTGGAGGGGAACTTAGCCCTTACTGAGTTCAGAAAGAAGAAGAAACTCATCCATCCAAGACCCACAGCAGAAAGCATAAGGGTTTATTTATAGAGAAGAATTTTATTATTTTTAAAAATCACTTGTGGGCTTCTGCACCAAAGCGTAGGAAAAAGCATGTGTTGGTTGCCAAGGGTCAAGGGAAACCACCTTGTTTTCTTGACAGCGCTGTGGCTGAAACAGCCCTTCCCAAAAACAATACGTTGGGGGAAGAAAGGCAAAACCAGTGGGAGGCCTGAAAATGCTGTGGTTTGCTTTTTATTTTATTTTTTTCCAGTGTCTTTGGGGCTGAAAAAGGCAGTGGAATGAATTCCACAACTAGTTTAAAATGCAGTGCCTCTTGCACTGGGAGCTCCGGGGGCTGCCCTCACATGACTCATGCCTTCCCCAACTCACCTCAGACCTCTCGTCCAGGCCCATCTGTCAAGGATAATAACAACAACACAGAAGTGATGCTGCCTTCACCTCCACCGTAGACTGCAGCGGCTCTTTCTGTTTCCTAAAACTCTTTCATAGTCTAACAAAAATGGCTGCCTTTCTCCTAAGTGCCAGGCTCCTTACTCTTAGGATTTTATCTCATCTGAACCACAACCTTTTGGAGACATCATTGTTATGCTCATTTGACAGATGAAGGAAGCCAGGCTCAGATGATTAAATACCATGCCCCAAATCACACAGCAAGGAGACAAGCTGAGATGTGAAGTCGGTGGTCTTATGCTTCAGAACAGTTCTGGGAATTCGCATTGTCTTCTCATTTTCCGAGGAGGAAACCAAAGTAGAGAGGTGGAGAGGATACTACAGACCAGGGCTCAGGGTGGCCCAGGCAGTGCTATCTCCAGGCACATGGTTCTGTCTCCTGAGGCTGTGACTCATGACGGTGCCAGACCATCAGCTAGACAAACCGCCACCCACTGGGCCACTCCAGCCAATTGCAAACCTTTGGCTTCAGAACCAAACATGTGTCCACATTGGCTCGGATATATCCACAGCCTTGCCTTGTAATGCCATCGGGCCCTCTGTATATTTTAAAAGCAGATGCCTCAGACCTCCAAAAGGCCAAGGGTTGCTTCTCGAATCTGACCTAAAAGGGCCTAACCTCAAGGACAGATCTGAATTCACCTGACATACAGCCCCAGGAGGAATCACAGAGAAAATGCTCTTACCTGGAACACCTCTACACAGACTGTTGCTGTCCTGCATGCTGCTTGCATTGAACTATGTCATTCACCAGCTGTGTGTCCCCAGACAAGGTACTGAACCTCTCTGAGCCTCACTTTCTTCAGAGGACCAGTTTAAGTTTTCACAGTCAGGAATTCATTCCTTCTAAAAACCTGTGCTAAGGAGACATGGCAAGGTGTTCTGGGCCTACAGAGACATGGGCAGAACTGGGGCAGAAGAGCAAAATGGATACTAAAGCTCTAAACCTGCCCACCAAGGTTCATAGTTTATTTTAAATTGGGGCTGTTTTGTGCCATTGCAAAGGAGGGTGAATATGCTTACAGTTATAAAATTCTGCTCTTCTTTCACAGAATTTCAGAGTAGATGGGTTGGTACAAGCTATCTTGTCTGACCACCTCCACATGGTATAGAGATTAAGGCCAGGAAAGGGAAGCCCTGGCTTGACACCTCACAAGGGCTTGAACCCAGACACAGTGCTCTTTCCAATGAGGGTCACTGCCAATCTAAAGAATTCTCTCATCTGCATATTGGACTAGGAACCTCTAACTCATAGCACTTTTCTGAGGATAATAAGAAAAAAGGGATAGGAAAATGTTTTGTACACAAATGCAGTACATGTCTGACAAGAGGTATTATTAATTTCAAATAGTCATGTGATGCTTCTTCAGTGACGCTGAAGAAGGGACCTGTGGCAGGGCTTCTAGGAGGTATGGCTCAACAAGTGTGCTTTAATTTGTCTTTAGTCAGTATACTGACATTATTTAGAAAGTTTAATCAACGTTGAAGGTAGAGAATATCTGATTTGTTTGTCAAAATGAGTGCCTGCATGTTGAAAGTTATGGTTTACCAAGAGTCCCCAACCTGTATGTCTATAGGAACCTGGAGATTAAAGCCTGAAAGTGAGTGGTAAGAATTAAAATCTACCTCCTTCATTATGTTGATGGCTATTTTTTTTTTTTTTGAGACGGAGTTTTGCTCTTGTTGCCCAGGCTGGAGTGCAGTGGCGCAATCTCGGCTCACTGCAACCTCTGCCTCCTGGGTTCAAGCAATTCTCCTGCCTCAGCTTCCCGAGTAGCTGGGATTATAGGCATGTGCCACCACGCCTGGCTAATTTTGTGTTTTTAGTAGAGACATGGTTTCTCCATGTTGGTCAGGCTGATCTTGAACTCCCAACCTCAGGTGATCCCCCCACTTTGGCCTCCCACAGTGTTGGGATTACAGGTGTGACCCACCGTGCCCAGGCGGCTATTTTTTTTTTTTTTTAACTGCAGGGATGGGCTTCATATTTTCTTTAAACCTTGGGTGAGCCCATCCAAAAATGTATCTTCAAGTCTGATCTAGCCTGTGGGCCACCTCTACTATTGTAGGTGTTCATATTGTGTAGTTTCTTTCCTCTGCACTATTGGCATCTTCTTCCCTTTGTCCAATGGACACCATGACCATGTTACCATGACTTAGCCCTGAGACCAGGGTGGCAGGCCAAAGATGTTGGAAGGCAGAAAGAACACACACCCATCTGGTGGCTTAAGGTTGGATCTCAACTCTGCCTGCCATCTACTAGCTGAGCAAGGGACATAAACTCTCTGATCAAGCCTCGGTTTCATTTGTAAACATATATATATATACCCACCACCCAAGGTTGTGGTAAGGAATAAAAGAGATGATAGGTATGAAAGGTTCAGCCCATAGAAGATGTTCAAATATGGTAGCTTCCTTCTACTTATTACAAATCCTACCTACTATTCAAAACTCGATACACGCTGCAGCCTCTCCAGCCTTCTCTGACCTCCTCAGCTGATGGGGCACTTTCTCTTCTGAATTGCATTTGTCCTTCATGGCTTGTGAATTAGTAAACAATCCTTGGCATTACTAGGCAACTTTTCATGTGTATGTGTGATATATTGCCACAATTTGGTCATCAGCTCCTTAAAGGCACTTTTCTCCTTCTCATGAGCTTAATTCCTTATCTTTTACTGTTGAGTAGGCACTGCCTTGTGCGAAATTTTCTCATAACAACCATGTAAGGGAGAGGGCATGCACCATGAACTGGACGCTCTGATGAGGCAACTGGCTCACAAAGTTGGATAGCTAGAAAGAAATCAGTAAGCATATAGTGTTCACGGTCACCAAGCAGACCAAGCAAGATAGTGCGGATGATCAAACTTAATCCCACTTCCACTTCCATAAAAATAATGCAAAGTGCAATTTTCTGAGGGAAAGTGCGGTCGGCTAAAAAATGTCCCCCTAAGATATCAGGTCCTCATCCCTGAAAGCTGTGATTATTTCCTTAAATGGAAAAAGGTGTGATTAAGTTAAGGAGCTTGAGTTAGTGAGATTACTTTGAATAGTCCAGAGGGGTCCTAAATGCAATCACAAATGCCCTTTTAAGAGAGAGGCAGAGGGAGATTTGACACAGACAGAAAAGAAGGCAATGTGTGGAAAGAAGCAGAGAGGGAGATTAGACTGCTCCAAAGCAGCCATGGGTGCTGAATCAGAGAAAGAGATGCTACGCTGCTGGCTGTGAAGATGGAGGAAGGGGCCATGACCCAAGGAATACAAGGAATGCATCTCTAGACACTGGAAAAGGCAAGGAAATTGAGTCTCCCCAGGAGCCTCTGCAGAGAGTGCGGCCCTTCCAACACCTTGATTTCAGCCCAGGGACACTGATTTCAGACCTGTGACCTCCAGAACTGTAAGAGAACAAATGTGTGTTGTTGTAAGCCACCAAGTTTGTGGTAATTTGTTACAGCGTCAATAGGAAACTATGACATCAAGTGAAGGGGAAAAAATAGCAGAAATAAAGAAATAAGAATGAGGCATGGAACTAATGTGGGGGATTTGAAATAACCCTGCACAAAATCTCCACGGACCTGAGTGCTTGTCTCAGTAATTTCACCAGCTGGCTATTTCATCTTGAGCAGATCACTTCACCTCTGTGAGCCAGAATCTCCTCATCTGTAAAATAGGATAAAAACCTAACTGTCATATGTAGATGCTCGAAAAAGGGCAGCTGCTATTACATTAATATTAAAGAATGACAAAACATGGCCGGGTGGTGGAGGTGGGTTCTAACTCTCCTTTCGTGGAACGCAATAGCTGAACCGATGTGACCCACTGATGAAATTCAATAGGAACCCTCTATACTCACTTTACAAGGAGAGAAAGAAGTCAAAAGATAGAGATGTATTAATTTTATGTTTTGCCTTCATACTTTTTCAACCTTATACTTTCATTTAGGTCTTTGGCTTTTGCCCATCCCAGAAACCTGTTAAGATGGCATGCGACTTAGCACAAAATTATACATTTAGTCATTTCAAGTTTAAAAAAGAAAATATTATGCCTATAGGTGATATTCTGCAGTGACCACCAAGACCCCAGGACTCTTCACATGAACCTGTCTTTGAGCCACTGGTAGAACCTAACTGACACTCTGAGATTGTTCTGCCACCTACTAGCTGGGTGAGCTTCGGGAAGATCGTCATCTGCTCTCTGACTCAGTTACTTCGTCTGTAAAATGGGAATACCAGCTTCCTCAAAGGGTGCTTTTGTGGAGAGGTTAAAATAACACAGGGAAAGCACTTAGCTTGAGCATATATAGTCAGTGCTCATTAATTAGTAATTTCTTAGCACTATTATTGTTATTATTGTTACTCAGCTCTCAGGGAACCTAATTAACTGTAGTAAAATTTCGACTCCTGTATTTTTGAACCAGTTAGCTTCTGTAGGCAGGAACCTTCTGTTACTCAAAACTGCAGAGCTTAGTGATTAAGAGAAATGAAGATAGAGGCTGTAGTTTGCATTCTATTCTCACCGTTTATTGTGTGGTACTGTGTGATACTGAGCCAATCACGTAAGCTCTGATCCTCCGCTTCCTCATCCTCATCTGTAATATGAAATGATAATGGTATTTATCTCACAGAATTGTTATGCGGAATATATAATACAGTGCTTTTGAAGCTGGCATACGCAGGTAGTAGGCACTCAGTCAATATTCAATGAATTAAATTCCTTCACTTGAATTTCCATTTAAAAACACAGAAAAAAGTCTACAGATCTGAAGCAAAGAATGTTATTGGGCTCTTCACCACTTGTGAAAACTGCAGCTTGGTGCCCCACCCCTGTGCTCATTTTATAAGGCACAGGGTTTTCAGTTATTCTCGGTGTTTCTAGGAGGTTGACTTCTCAGGAAACGGTACCTGTCTCTCCCAGAAACCTGGGGTGTTTGCCTGGAGAAAAATCCCTTAGCCAAGAGACCGTTGTGACCTTTCACAGGCAAATTTACTCACAGCCTAGGGTGGGAAGAGGCCTAGGGAGCTCCCCTTCCAAGGGCACCGGGCTATGGGAATTTCCTCCAGGGCCTTCCTGGGCCGGCCCTGGCCGCGCCTCACTGAGCTCCTTGCAGTTTCTGTCAGCGCTGAAACTGCTGTGGAAAGTTCAGCTCGAGAAGAGGGAACTAGGGTGTTTTGCTTTTTTTCTTTCTTTTTGAAAGTTGAACAACCCTAAGACTTGATTTAGAAATCTTAACCCAAGCCAAATGCTTTTCTGATGGGTGACCACCCCAAGGAGCAACCAGGCAGGGTACTTTGACTTTGCAAGGACACTGACACTGGCAGGAGCCAGATCTCTCCAGAAAGCAAACGGCGCAGGTTCACACGCCACCAGGGACGTGTGCTGGAATGTTGCTTTGTTTTTGACTCTGAATTTACGGTCTCACTCCTCCTTCCCCGCCCCCTGGAACGCGATTTATTATTATGCAGACCTAGTGGCTTTTCTCCAACTTTATTTCTTTTTTCAGAAATAAACAAGGGTTTTACAGCTCCATAACCTCTCCAAAGTTTGTTTATTCTTCCCTCTGTATAGTGTGGGCCATGTTCGTTCCCTGGGAAAGTCTCTTCCCTAATTATTTTCACATTTTAACAGCTTTTGTTTCTTCTTTCTGTGAGGTTTATGAAAATGCTGACGGTGGATTTGCTTCAGGCTAAATTGTACCATAAACATTTTCTCCTAGGCACATGGGAGCCTCGGTGACCAGGGACCATGTTGCTATTCCTTATTGTGTACCATGCCAGAAGGAAATTTTAAAATCCTGAAATACTCTTTTTGATGGCTGGAAGAAAAATATGTAAATTGGTAATACAGAGAAAATCTGCTAATCTTGTACAAGGAATTTTGGACAATATCATGTAGGTAAGAGCCAGCTGTGAAAAGGGCTGCCTCAAACGCTGAGCTTTCATTTTAGGTTGAGCTCTTTCTGCCTCCAACCACAGACTGAAATTTGTTGTGTTTTAAGGAAATAAAGATTTTTAAAATGAAAGGCTAGTATGTTTTAGCAAAATCTTGGGATTCTGGGATAGGTAAATGTTTGTTTCAGGCAGAAGGTGTAAACCTAATCTTGATGTCTGCATATTTGGTTTGAAGACTGAAGAATCTTTCTACCAATAGCAATCCTGAATTCTAGGAGACATGGAGGCTCAAAAAGATGGTGTATAGTTTCTTTCTCTCATTGTTATATGGTTCTCAGTGCCTCGCTTGTTTCTGTACAACCTCTCCCTCCATCCACCTCTGGATAGTGCTACCACCTATGGTGCCATAGCATCTCACCTGATATCAGACAGAAACCTCAAACCCACCCTGTTCAAAATGGAATTTTTGCTCTTTTCCCCAATCTGTTCTCTCTCCAAATTCCCCACCTGGTGACACCATCATCCCCAAAAGCCCTTGCAGGAAGCCTGGAGTCCTTCTAACTCTCTGCTGTCTTATCTGATCAGGCCTTGAGTTCTGTTTATTCTATCTGCCCAATATCTCTCAAATTTGTCCACCTTTCTCTTTCCCCACAGCCATTTGCCTCATTCAGACTCTTACTGCCCCTCACCTAGACCAGTGCTACAGCCTCCTTGCTGGTCTCCATCAAATCTCACTCTCTCTACCCCCCATGAAAAGAATCTCCTCCAGAGCTACAAGAGTGTTCTGACCGCAGTATCATTGCTTCCCTGCTTAGAAACCACCTATGTTCCTCTCACCCTATGCAGCTGGTCCAAGACCTGGAGCGTGGCACTCAGAGCCCTCCCTGAGCCAGTCCCAGGCTTGCTCTGCCACTCAATGGCCACATCCACATGCCCTTTGACATGTGGCCACTCCCTGAAACACTTGCCATGCTCTTCTGTGCTTCATGCTGGTCCCTTGACTTAGGGTGCTCTTCTCCCTCTTCTCTAGCTGGAAAAACAAAACAAAACAAAACAAAAAAACACCCTCCTTATGCTTAAAGGCCCAATTCAAACCCCAGCTCCTCTATGAAGCCTTCCTGAATTCCCCTAAGCAGAGTGCTGCTCCCTCCAAGTATTTCTGAAGCAGCTTGTACACATCTTCACACTATATCCCTTCTACCCATTGTAGAGTCTGGCCTATGGGAGAGACTTAAGACGGACATAGGAGGCCTTACTGAGCCTGTTTCAAGAGAGGCCCATGTGGGGATGTGCTCGTGGTGATGAGGGTGAACACATGGCTTCCAGCATTGCTTGGAACACCATGGATAGAGCTTTGTCTAGGTCTGAGGGTGACTGAGGAGACTGGAACAGGGCAGGGGCTGCTATTATAGGCAGCAAATTGTGTCCCCTTCAGAGATCCCCTTGGAGAATAAAAGGGAAATCAGCTTGGACCTCCCCTAACTCCAGGTGCCACGGATTGTCTGGATCCTCCTGCCACCAAGTACCTCCATCCCCTTGGACCCATGTAGGGTCAAGCCTAAATTTGTCATGTCCCTTAAACGTGAGGAATTAAAGTAAGCGCCAGCCTGGCTCAGGCTCCCACCTCCCCCGACTCTGATCTGGCCCTGACTCAGCTTCTGTTGCATAGGAGGAAGTCCCAGGATGCTTCCAAGATGATCTCACTTGTGCCTGTTGGCACATGTTTCATTTAGGAATAGGATAGCAAAGAGGCTCTGGGGTTGAGGGCAGGGGTCCCCCTGCTAAGACTTGAATGAGACAGTAAGGATTCTCAGGTCTGAGAGGCCTAAATTCCAGTGCTTGATTCACTCATGCAAACTCACTCTTCAGAGAGCCTACTCTATGCCAGGCATTGAAGCCAGCATCCTTGTCGTACAAGAACTCTTAACTCTGTGTGGGAGGTGACTTCAGGGGTCTGCCCAACCCCTGTCTGTATGATAGGGATTAGCACCCTTGCTCTGTTTGCAGTACAGGGGTGGGGTGTGAGGACCTGCTCTGTAGACCCCTGGGTCAAAGTTAGGGATGCGACATGTGCCAGGTGCAGTGTCTAGCACACTGTGGATGCTCAATAAATATCCATTGAGAGCATGAGAATAAATGAATGGTTTCTGCTCTCAGCCTTATTAGGGAAGGGCATGACCATTTACAGAACACCCGCTGTGCTTCACTGATGTCACAGCAGCGTGCACACAACTACAGCCAAGCCTTCCACCACACTGTCTCCCTCTGGGTCTTTGTGTGCCTCTGATGTCTTTTTCTTGCTGTCATGATCTCTTTTCTCTTTGCCCACTTCACTCTCACTCCTATGCAGGTGTCCACCTCTCTCTCTCTCTCCCTCTCTCTCTCTCTCTCTCTCTCTCCCCTCTTGTGTTTAAAAGTGAAACAGCAGGGCCAGGTGTGGTGACTTATGCCTGTAATCCCAGCTACTCAGGAGGCTGAGGCAGGAGAATCACTTGAACCTGGCAGGAGGAGGTTGCAGTGAGCCAAGATCGCACCACTGCACTCCAGCCTGGGCAATAGAGCGAGACTCTATCTCAAAAAATAAAAAATAAAAAGAATAAATAAATAAATAAAAGTGAAACAGCTTTGGGGCTGACTGGAGTTGGATGTAACCTGGAAGTTCTATGATTATACACCCCTTTGAGGGCTAGGATCCAGGTCAGTTTGTTCACCACAGTGTGCCTGACACCTAGCATTAGAGGCCATATTCAGTAGGAACCCGAAATATTGTTGCATAAACACATCGGTTTATATATATATGGGTGAGGAATGTATGCTTGGGAATGCTGAGGGGACCAGCACAGAACCAAAGAACACTGAGCAAGAAGCTACAGTTTTGCTCTAGCTTGGGCCTAAGCTTTAAGAGATGGGTTGAAAAAATTCCTTGAGGTTTTTAGAATGTCCAGCCAAGCTCCCTGTGTGAGAAATCTGACCGAGATTGTGAGTAGAAGCTTCTCTCCGGAATGAAGAGGCTGTGTCTAGAAACACCATCTCTGGGTTTTATCTCTTAGAGACATGAGGACCTGGGGAGCAGGGGGCTCTACAGAAGCCTAATGTTTTAGGAGCATGTAATGCAACATTCCTGACCTCAAGCAATAGTCAGCTCATAAAGATCTTAACTGTAATAGGGGTCCCTCCTCCTATTCTGCTCTGGTTGGTCGCATCAACCTGCACAAGTTCCCACTCTTTAAGCCCTATCCATCTGTTAAATGAAGGGTGCAGGTTAGATGATCCTTAAGGCTCTGCTGCTCTTGGATTTGTGAAATTAGCTAACGGATGAGCTGGGGATTTAAATAGGATTCCATGCCAGGGGCTTTTACCTTCACAGGACAATGGGAAACTAGGCTCTGATTGATTTCATTGCCTGCAGCACTGAATATGTCTGAGTTGCAGGCTGACTCATATAGGCCCTTCTAGAAGAGCTACTGGCCCAGAGAGGACGCTGCCTTCACTCTGAGGGTGGTCACCAGTACATGTGAATATGAGCGTAGAAATCCAGGTCTCTGCAGTGCAAGTGTCCATAATGGGGAAAAAACCACAAATATTTCACAACTCTCAGAAAAATAGTACTTGGTAGCCTATGCATGTTTATATTTCCTCCTTCAAGTGGTCCTCCCGCCTCACAACACACATACATGCATATGACCACAACTAATGCGATCAGGCAGTGTATACCTCCTAAACCACACACGTCCACATGCGCTCTTGCGGACATGCAACATACTTACATGTGTTACTTGGACACATGCCTTTGACATATATAGAGATTCTATGTGTTCCACACACATGCATATCCTGCATATTCAGACATTCCATTTTTGCCCTCACCTACTAGCATGTCCCAATCCCTGGAATGTGGCAAAAGGCAATAAAGGATGCAGATGGAATTAAGGATGCTAATCAGCTGACTTTATCTGAGTGGGCCTATGTAATCACAAGAGTCCTTAAAAGGTGGAGGAAGGAGGCAAAAGAATCAGCATCCAGAAGAATCAATGTCCAAATGTGATGTGAGAAAGACCCCACCAGCCTTGGCTGACTTTGAAGATGAAGGAAGGGGCCATCAACCAAGGAATGCAGGCAGCCTCTAGTTGAAAAGGCTGGAAAATGGATTCTTCCCTAGAGTCTCCAGAAAGCAGTAAAGCCTCCCACTGCCTTGATTTTAGCCCAGTGAGACCTGTGTCCAGCTTCTTACCTCTGGAGCTGTAAGATTATTAATTTGTGTTGTTTTAGGCTGTGAAGTTGTGGTAATTTGTTACAGGAGTGATAGGAAATGAACACCCACAGAATCAGACAGAGTCCCAACCTCATGAGTCTATGGTCTGAGAGAGGAGACAGGCACGAAACCAGGTGATAGACAACAGAGTAAGAGAGGCCGCAAAAACACAAAGGAGGACTCCCCAGCCTACACTTGGGCGTGGAGGGAAGATTTCCTCGTGGAAACTCCATAAAGGCAGGGACCAGTATTGACCCAGGTCTGCAACACTGACCACTATATCTGCACACACCCGATGCCGATAAGTGTTTGCTAGGGGAAGGAAGGAGGGAGAGAGGAAGAAAGGCAAGAGAAAGGCCAAAACTAGGACCCAATAGATAAATAGGATTTGAGGTGGGCGAATACAAGGTGGGGTGAACTGTCCCAGGCAGAAGACCTAGGGCTATTTTGAGAACTAAGTAGAGTTTCCTTTGGCTGGGACACAGTGCCCCACGGGGAACAGGGAAAGATGAGTAGGCAGGGCACAGATCAGGAGGAGCCTTATCAGCTATAATTAGACATTTGGCTCGTATCCTACGTGCAGTTGGTGCATGCTCGCTCTCGCTCGTTCTCTCTGGTTCTGTCTCCCCACCCCCACCCACTTGGGTGATATTTTAACATCTTTTAAATGAAGCATGTTTGTTTGATCTCATTTATGCTAAACAATGCTTATGGAACTATTTCCTCTTGTTCCCCAGGCCATACTCATGTCCCTACCCTTCAGCAATGATTGAGGACCTAGCTCCTCGGTTATCATTTTGGGTAAGATGGGCCCATCCAGTGGACAACAAGCACTGGATCTGTAACCACAGCCATCTGGGTTTGAGTTCATACTCCTTCATTTCCCAGCGAATGCTTAACCTCTTTCATCCCTGGTTTCCCTGTCTGGAAAATGGGTCCAGGACAGTGCCCACCTTAAGGGCTTGTTGTGAGAATCAAAAGAGCTAGTTCATAAAAGTGCTTTGAAAGGGCCAGATGTATCCTGAGTAGTCAATGGCAGTTGTCTACCACAATCGACACTCTTTGTATAGTTATTGTCAACCAGCCATAACTATTGTTACATGTTACATGAGTTTCCATGGCTCTCCAGATCTCCCTACCCTTCTGTACCCACCTCTGCACCCTAGGAGGCCGACCTGCATGGGCCCCATCAATGATCTCCCTTGCCTTCTAGCTCCCAATTGTGCCCAGCCTTTGCAAGTTACCAGCAAGAGATGCAGGGAGTGGCAGGAGAGTGAGGATGGGGGATTTATTCTCCCTGCTCCCTCCTTTTAGGATTTTGCTAGGGCTTGGCTGCTTTCTTCTCATGAAGGCAGCCTCTTTTTGGGGAGCCCTC
This sequence comes from Homo sapiens, assembly GCF_000001405.40. Lineage (NCBI taxonomy): Eukaryota > Metazoa > Chordata > Mammalia > Primates > Hominidae > Homo > Homo sapiens. The sequence continues at coordinate 59,019,905 of NC_000001.11, forward strand.
TCCCTACAACTCCCGTCTTTTTGTTCCAGGAACTGCTCCCTCTTCTTGCCTTTTAAGAGATAGGGAAGGTAATGACTGCCTGCTGTTATAAGCCCCAGAGTTTCCTTTGCATCTAAGTAAATGATCTTTTCCTTAAATTCCCTCCAAGTTACACAGTTTGAGTGTACCATCCATTTTTTGCTAGAACACTGACTGAGACAACTTTTTTTTCAAATACTGGGACTGCTGGCTTCACAGACCGAGACTCCATCCTGATAAGGAAGCCCTTGTCCCTTGTCCCACTGGTTAGCTCTAGAACATTCAGCAAGGTGATCACATTGTCACAAGACCACTTCTTTTTCATTCTGCATGAAACTGAAAATGTCAAGAAAATTTCTGAGTTTAATAGACAACATGATCATACTCCAGACTAGAAAATGAAACCAAAACCAATTGACCTAGGCAGAAAGTTAGGTTGTAACGGGTTTCCTGCAGCCAAAGAGCCATGAGTCACAGCAGCTGGCTCAAGGCTGGGAGGGGAAGTAAAACACTAAATCTAAGGACCACTCTATTCACCCTACAGTGACTGCTCTTTTTCCCTCCTGCCACAGTCCAGGGTAGGAGATACTTCTCCAGGCTCTCACTTATGGGGGCTTTCCTGCTGGCTACATCACTGAAATGGAATCTCCTAGTGGCCCTTCTCCCTCTACAGCTCTGGTGTTACACTGAAAAACTAGAAGGTCAGTCCCTTTTATATTTACCACCATTAAGGTTGCAGGAGCCCAGCATGTCCCCATAGGCCTCCTTCTCCATTCTCCTCTTCCCCTTGTTTTGTGCCTGGTTTGTTTCCTGTCCAAATTGGGTCCTCCTTTTCTAGACCATGAGCTTGCTGAGGTCAGGGAATGAGTCTTCGTATCCTTGGTACCCAGTTCAGAGCCTGCCTTTAGGGAGTGTTTACTCTAGCACTGTGGTTAGGCAAAGAGATGTGAGTTTGAGTCTTGGTTTCCTTAGTCTTTTATCACTCACTTCTCAAATTAAGCCATTTGTATTTTTTTTTCTCTCTCTCTCTTTAGAGACAGGGTCTCACTCTGTCACCCAGGCTGGAGTGCAGTGGTGCAATCATAGCTCACTGCAGCCCTGAACTCCTGGGCTCAAGCCATCCTCCTGCCTCAGCCTCCCAAATAGCTAAGACTACAGGTGCACATCAATGCCTCTGGATAATTTTTTTTTTTAATTTCTGTAGAAACAGGGTTTCACTATGTTGCCCAGTCTGGTCCCAAACTTCTGGTCTCAAGCAGTCCTCCTATCTCAGCCTTCCAAAGTGCTAGGATTATAGGCATGAGCCACTACATTCAGCTACTGCTTGTATCTTCTGATTCTTGTTTTGATACCACTGACCTTAGGTAGGGTATTTTATCTTCCTGAATTTTATTTTTCTATGTGTATAAAGGAGATTAAATTATCCTTCTAATAGGCTTGTTGTGGGGATTAAGTGAAATAGTGTATACAAAGTTCTTAGCATACTTTGAAGCTATTATTTTTATTATTATGCTAGTAAATAAAACTTTCTGGAATTAGAGACTCACATGCCTGTTTGTCTACAGTTTCAAAACAGACAAGGGAAAAAGAGAAACATCAGAAAGTCTGATTAAAGTAGAAGCATCATATTTCTATCAACGTATCCACTGTGCTTGGTAAGTGGCAGTCTCTCGTCCTGTAAGAGACTTGGGCTTTGAAAAGGGCTTTGGATCTCAGATCTGTCGACATGGGCCTTGTCATGAACCTCAGCTTCCTCATCTCCAAAACTGCTATAGGCCAGGCAAGGTGGCTCACGCCTGTAATCCCAGCACTTTGGGAGGCCGAAGCAGTTGGATTGCTTGAACTCAGGAGTTTGAGACCAGCCTGGGCAACATGGTAAAACCCCATCTCTACCAAAAATACAAAAAAAAAAAAAATAGCTGGGTGTGCCCGTGGACACAGCTAACTGGGAGGCAGAGGTGAGAGGATTGCTTAAGCTCGGGAGGTGGAGGCTGCAGTGAGACAAGGTCATGCTACTCCACTCCAGCGTGGGTGACAGAGCGATACCCAATCTCGAAAAAAAAAATGGTATAGTAATAGCCTCCGCTTGAGGTTACTCTTTCACTGAATGATAAGTGAGCACCTACTGTGTGTCAGACGTTACTCTAAGCTGCAGACACAGCCTCAAAAAAGACAAGCTAACCCCTGCCACCATGGGGCTTATATTTTAATTGGGAAAGGGGCTGGAAAAGACAGACAATAGACAAATCAATAAATTCATTAAAAAGCTAACTTCAGGAATTGATAGGTGTTATGGGGAGAATGAAAGAGGACCCTGGGATATAGAATGACTTTGTGGGGGAATCAGGTTGGGATCCCTGGATCAGGTGGTCAGGGTGGGACTCTCAGAGAAAATGACTTTTGAATTTAAATAAGAATGAAAAGAAAAAGCCAACCGTAGGCAGACCTGGGGACGGCCAGTGCAAAGGTCAGAAGTGAGACAAGGTCATAGAGTAACCAGGGTTAAAATAAGGTGATGCGGCCTAACTGGCCAGAACAATGCCTGACAAAGGTGCTGCTTTCCCCAATATCTTCAAATCCTTAAGGATCTACTGTGTGCTGGTGTAAGATGCAGAAATCAGTAAATCATGCTACTATCTCTAAGAAACTCATGGTGTAATATAGGAGAAAAAAAGACACCATCAAAATAAATGAATCAAGACCAGGCAGATGAACATAACTGAAAACAAGTGATAGCAACCTGGGAGATGACATAGACATGGATATGGAAATGGATATGGATATGGGTAGATATGGATGCAGGTACAAATGTGGATAAAGGTGGGGATGTATGTTGGGAAAGGCAGTCTCTTGCATGCCGTCTTTCCACCCCTGCTTGGCCACCTAAGAATGCGCATTGGGCCTGGAAGACTTCCTTACCAAGAAATAAAGAATCCTCAGCCTGTGCTGGACTTATCACCTTTTGTGGGAATATCTTTTTCTGTTTGTACTCTTTTGCTTTGCTTAAGGGCATGCATCATATGGCACTTAGAAACTTCGCTACTGTATCTGTCCTTTGCAGGCAGGGGATGGGCCCTTCTGCTGCAGCATAAGAGGGGTCATTCAATGGCCTGTGTCAGCTACTGGGATGGACCTGCTGTCCATGGGATACTGACACCCACTAGTGAAGCAGATCTTGCTCTGTCTCTTCTCTGTGTGAGTAAAGTTCTGTTCCATCCAGTGCTTGACTGTGTTGTGTTTTTCGTGGCAATTTCAATACCAACATGCAGTGGGCACAAGCGCTTAGACTTCTACTCCGGTTAATAGGAAACAGATACCACTTGCTTGCCAGTTGGATGTGGATATTGGATGTGGATAGATGTAGATATCAATTAAAAGAACAAATGAATACGTGATTGAATGAGTGAATACATATAAGGAGGGAGAGGGTTGGGTCAGGGTAGATGAGAAGGGGGATGAAGGAGGCAGAGGTGGGCAGAGGTGGTGATGTAGAAGAGGTGTTCACCACTGGGAAAACTCCAACTGGGCTGGAGCAGAGGATCCTTGTATGGAAATCATGTCTGGAAACTAGCAGAAGACCAGTTATGGACAATTTTGGCTTTGCTTTGTGGGCCTATCATGCTATTTATACTTATATGATTAACAGACATTTCTATAACATACCAGACCTGACAAAGCTGCTACAACACACCTGAGTTCACATGAGTATGTATTGTTTCTCCAGTTTCCATTGGTAAAAGTGCAGTGCAGAAAATCGTTTTCTGCCCTTTCTCTGTGGCCACTTTGAGGTCAGAGATTGTGTCTTAAATTCAACAAGAACAGAACTGGAATAGTAGAATCTTGTTTTGTTGTGTTTTTGTGAAAAACATAAAAAGGCTCATTTTAGGCTTTAATAAAAGAAGGGGCCTGGAGGCATCACTGGTGATGGTAAAAAAAAAAAAAAAAAGCCATAATTTTATGTTTTTATAAGATTTTAAAATGTTAAAATCAAATTATGAGACATAAATCAGGATGTTCAGAAAAAATTATAAGAACCCTCATGATGTTTATCAATGAATGATCCGTTTGATTCTGTGCAGCCTCATGGCCAAAACCAAGCACAGAGTTAGTCAGATAACTGATCTCCTCTACACATATGATCTTCTTGGGGGACTCTGTTTGGCAAAGGAAGCTTTGGGGAAAGCTCATATAAACCACTGAGTATAGTCAAATGATTTAGACCTGAACACTTTTTAAAGTAGGAGTTATCTGTCCACTAATAAATATTTTAGTAAAGTGTCATGGAACATGCAGTTTTTTTTTAAGGTGGACAAATAATTTTATTTTGTGCATGCAAATACACGTCAAGTACTGCAAACTTTTTCCATCAATTTTCTCTCAAACACTGAAAATCATGATGTCCTATTTTGTGAACAGCCAAAGCTAGTATCTCTTCACTTCAGTGCCACAGCAAAAACATACAGAATTCACTCTTTGCTATTCACTATCATCATAACCCTCGTTGTTTCATCTCTGCCCTCCCCTCTTATACAGCCCTTATAAATTCTAGTCTTATCCCATTTAATCCTATTCCTATAGCACAAAGGCAAACATTACAATTTGGAAAATCAAATTGAAATCAATGGCATAGAATTTATTCCCATATATATCCCCCATTTCATTATACAGAATTATTTTAAGTTATAGTTAAAACTATGACATAAACATGCAGTTTTGAGCGATATAACTTGCCAATAAATCTTCCAGGTTAAATTAGTTGCCAATTATATTACTAAAGTTACCAGGAAAAAAACTTGAGCTATTGTAAGGGTTATGGGCTATGAGACAGTTATGTTTTTGTAGTTGCCAGCTCAAAATAAAGTTTCAGAAGTATTGATATTAAGCCACTCTTGCTGCCAATAATTTGATAGACAATCACTTATCCATTTAAGTAATAAGTTTAGTCAGAGGGAAGATTCTTTTTTATCATCTCTGTGGGAATGTGGGATGGCACACCTTTGTGACTTATTATACAACCACGATAGGTAGGAACCAGTGCTGGCCTTTGTAGTCTCAGGGTCTATATGAAGAGAGCCTCAAAAAATGATGCTTGTTGGTGATGCCAACAGAAGGTTGCAGCTCTTCAAAAAAAAAAAAAAAAAGAATAGGTCTGGGCATGGTGGCTCATGCCTGTTATCCCAACACTTTGGGAGGTTGAGGAGGGAGGATTGCTTGAGCCCAAAGTTCAAGACCAGCCTGGGAAACATAGCAAGACTTTGTCTCCCCCCCCCAAAAAAAAAAAAATAGCCTGGCATGGTGGTGTATGCTTGTGGTCCCAGCTACTCGGAAGGCTGAGGTGTGAGGATCTCTTGAGCCTTGGAGGTCAAGGCTGCAGTGAGGCATGATTGCATCACTACACTCCAGCCTGGGTAACAAGGCAAGACCCCCCTCCAAAGAAAAAATAATCAGGAAGTGAGTTTATTTTGCTTTCCCCTTGTGTAGTCAAATTGATTTGTGTTTGAGGCATGTGAAAGCTAAATGCCTGGCCCTGTATAGGTCATGAGTCATCCCTATATCCTACAGTTTAACAAAAGACAGCCCTGCCTGTTCCCTTCCCCTCCCCACGCCCACCACTGAAATCATTGTAGAGGTAGTGGTCTTCTAGTATGTGACCCTTGGGCTACAATATCAACAGGTTCTAGGCCATATTTCCTTCACATCCACGTAATGAGCCCCGAAACCCAAGTGTCCTATTTTCCTTGAGGACATCTAGACCCAAAGCATCCCCATTTTGGAAGCCCAGGGACTGTGGAGTGGGAAAATATGCCTCCATTCCTCTCCTTCACATGTGTTTTTAGGTTAAAAAAGGCAGGTGCAAATCACAACTGAATATGAAGCCTCAAAAGAGGCCAAAGCAAATCAACTTAACAAAAATAACTTCTTATCACCAAACCTGGAGAAAAACTTCAGCTGTGGCACCTCCAAGCAATGACCACGTCCCTGGCTGACTTAAAAGCCCCTTCAGGACCTCATGTTGATTGAATCCCCATGATCTAGCCTCAAGTGAGGGCTGAGTGGGCTGTTCTTGAGCCAAGTGTCTGTGGTTGTGGATAAATATATTAATATCCTAGCAACTTGCAAAAGCCAAAGTACTTTAGACAGAATTTGTCGTGCATTCTCTTAACAGGAGAGCAGGTTTGAGATGGAGATCTGAGGATATTCTGAGCCAAGCAAAGAGATTCTTAGTAAATACACAAATTCATTTCCTTCTGGTAATGCTTGGCTGCCCCTTGCAAATTGGAGTCATTTTCTCGTGCGGCCTTCTAGTGTTCTTCTGAAATTTGAGGTTTGCTCTGTTTTCAAAATGTAGAAACCCATCTCAGTCATCCACCAAGCTTTCACTGAGCAACCAGATGCAGGCATTGTGCAGGGTTATGAAAGTGGAGATGTTTAAGACACGGTTTCCACCTTCAAGAAGTACACTGTCTAATCAGGAAGACTCACTGCAACATCCAGACTCAACTTGCTACACCCCACCCTGGTGTCCTCCCACTTGCCCTTTCTTCTACCTGGATGGAATGCCCTTGGCTCTCTTCCTCTTCTCTTGGAGGCTTCTCTCCACCCCCACCCGCAGCTGAGTTGCCCACACCTCTGGGATGCTCTGTACTTTGGTCACACATACGTTTCACATTTTCACCGAGCATGAGATTATCTGATATCCCATTTATCACTTCTTCCAGACACATTCCTTCAGCCTGTAATGGTTCCTGGCACGAGACAGGCACACGATCATTATTGGTGGAATGAATGAGTGAATGAATTCACAAGAAACATATGGCACTCAGAAACCTCAGGACCTCAGCTTAAATTCTAGCTCCAATGCTCATGTGTTGAGTGAAACTGACTGAGTTATTTAAGCCTCCTATGACTCACTTTTTCTATTTGCAAAATGGGAATAAGGGTTGTTGTGATGATGAGCAAATTCTTGTTTAGTGCTTATCAAAATGACTGCCAACTGGTAAGCGCTTCATGAAGAGTAGCCATTAAAACAGTTATCACTAACAGACATCTACTGAATCCCGACTGTGTGCCAGATAATGTGCTAGACACTGAGGCTACAAAATGAATAAAGTAAGATGTGTGCTTTCAATGAACTCCCAGCCTGGCTGGGAAGATAGATGTTAACAGAAATTAAAAGGCTATCTTACTAAGTAAGTGGGATATTGGGAACATGAGGTGGGGCACCTAACCCAGGCTGGACCAGATCAATGAATTCACAAGAGAAATGGTACTGGGGATCATGAGAGCTAAATGGAAAAGTCAGAGTCAGAATCTTTAAGGCCTTCCCCAAACCCTGCTCTAAATATTCCAACATGCCTAAGTGTTTTCTTTCCTTATAAATCCCTTCCTCCAGCCATATTGCTGATTATTCTTATTCTGTGAATTACATAAGTGTATTGTTTTACAATTTACAAAAAATTTCCACACACCGTGAGTCACTGGATTCTCCCAACTTCCCTATAGGACAGATAAAGCAGATAATTTAATATTTAATTCATGGGTGAAGAAGCTGAGGCTCTGAGAAGTCGCACTGCTTCTAAATGATCCTAGCTAGACATAACCCCAGGGGCTGACACTAATTCTGATGCCCTTTCAGCTCCCACAGCCTGGACACTCATAACAAGCCAGGAGCCCACCACCTCTGCTCCTTTGCCACACAGTGCCCCCTACCTGGAATGCCATCCCTCATCCCTCGTGTTTGTCTAAATTCTCTTTCTCTTCTTTGAAGTCTCTGTTCAAACCTTAACTGCCTCCCCCTGCCATCTAGTCTCTCCCCTGTCCAGACAGCCTATAGGGGTCTCTTGAACTCCTAGAAGGCCCTCTCTCTAGGCTGAAATAGGACTCTGACATCCTATGGCGGCCTGTTTATGGTTCTTTTTCATGTGCCCATGTCTGCCTCCCCAACCTGGCTGTGAGCCCCTGGAGGAAGAAACTGTGTCTTACTAATCTCTGTGGTTCGGATATAGTAGATGCTTAGTAAGTGCCTGTTGATTAAATGAATGGTATAAAGGTTGTTGGTCAATCTTCTGTTTAGGCTGACAGAAACATACTTGTGAGAGAAGCAGACTAGCTTTTACTAGGCAGTTAGGCCCTGAGTGCAGAGATGAAAGACATAGTCTCTGCATCAGGAAGCACCAAGTCTAATCAAGAGACAGCAAGTACATAGATAATAACTATACATATTGGAAAGTTTCAAATAGAGTACAAAGTACAAGGTGCAATTGGAGAACAAAGGCCATGGGGGAGGAGGGAGTAGAAGGAGGAGATGAAAGCAACAAGAGGAAAGAGGGAAAGGTGAGGTCTGAAGAAAGTCTTATAGCGTGAGTAGAAATTGACCGGGGGTACAAAGGGTGGCAGAGTACAAAGTACAAGGTGCAATTGGAGAACAAAGGCCATGAGGGAGGAGGGAGTAGAAGGAGGGGATGAAAGCAACAAGAGGAAAGAGGGAAAGGTGAGGTCTGAAGAAAGTCTTAGAGCGTGAGTAGAAATTGACCAAGAGTACAAAGGCTGGCATGATGGGATATAGAAAGGGGCTCCATGGTCTAGAAGAGTAACAACAACAAGAAGAATAAAATAGCCCAGAGGCATGAGAGGAACTGAAATCAATATAAAACTTTCTTGAGGGATTATTTAAATACCATCCTGAAGTCCAGATAGATTCTACCTCCTGGATGGTTGGATGGATGGATGGATGGATGGATGGATGAATGAATGGGTATTATGAACATTCATGTAACAAGAGTAAAGAGGGTATAAAGAGGACGCATAGGTAAAAGATGAGCTCTTGATTCCGAATATTAGAATTGTTGTTATTAATAGCTATGCTTTTGTGTTAACAAAAGCAATATAAGTTTATTATTAAATAACCAGGAAATAAAGGTAAGTGATTTTTAAAGTTGCTCTTAATCCCGCCATCCAGATATAACCACTATTAACATATTTATGTTGGCCTTTCCACGCTTTCTTTGGTGTCTTTCTATCTTAATCATCTGTCTGTCCATCTAACTATACATTTGTTTACATATCGATGATCTTTTTATTCATCCACCCATTCATTTATCCATCTATACTTTTCCAAAACAAACATAGGCTCATTTGGTGCTTTACATTTTGTAACCAATTTTTCTAACCAATTTATTATAAGAATCCAGTTATTTCTACCTATTTTTAAGTCAAATGTTAATAGCCACATAATATTCCATCCTATGAAAGTACTACACTTGGTTTAATCAATCCTTTCCCCCTTGTGCAGTTATCAAACATGTTTTAATGAAGATTGGTGCTCTTCTTTTGGGCCAAAGTAACAGCAAAGGGGTTACCTTTCTCTAAAGTTTATGAGGCTCTGAGTTGATTGACCAAAACTTGAACTTGATATAGGGTCATATTAATCCTCTGACATAAATCAGCTGCCTCCTGAAGTGACGTCTCTATCTCCACTGTACCTTTCCCTGGAAATGCCAGACAGGGCAGAAGGGCCTCCCCGACAGTGCAGGTAAATTAGTGCAACCATCAGCAATCACAGGTTATCTTCTGCTGATGGAATCTGACAGCACCAGCTTTCCCACATCTTCACAGAGCTGGTGATGCAGAGCTGTCAACTAACACAGCTGCACGGAAATGCCAACGGTGGATTTATGGTGTGAGGCAGTAACTTTGTGACCCCCAGGTGGAAAAACAGATGGCTTTGAAATAAGATCAGTCAATGTGGCAAAATGGGAGAGGGAGGCACTTACCTTATAGTAAAAGAGAATCCATCCTACCACTTCCTTGAAACTTCAGATCTTCAATGGCTCCGTATTACTTACAGGAAAAGTCCTAAGCTTTTCAGTCCAGCAAAGAAGTAATGAATGTAGTGGAACAAGGACTGGCTGGAAAGCCAGAAGCTATAGATTCTAGCTGCTGTTTTGCTACCCACCAGTAGTGTGACCTGGGCAAGTCACCAGTTCTTGAGTTTATTTTCCTCAATCTCTAAAATGATCATACATAGATAATGTCAGAGTGTTTTGACAAATGAGTCAGTAAAAAGTCATGCATCATTCAAAAATCATTTACTGAGGGATTTAATGTGCTGAGGGTGGAGTTGAGCAAGATAGACCAGCCCCTGACTAGGGAACTTGCACTCTAGGAAGTAGGAGTCAGAACATAAAATAATCAGCAGACTATGGAACAGTGATCAAGTGCCGTGTTGAATACAAAGTGTTGGGGATGGTAGAGACCAACGTAGTGCCCGGGTTGGGTTGGGTGGTCAACAGATGATGACCTAGCAGCTATGGTTGGAATGAGAAGCTAAACAAGCCACACAGAATCTGGGGAGAAAGAATTCAGGCTGAGGGATAGCATAAGGCCCCACAGGCAAAGGTGAGCTTGGTGTTCAACTAACTAAATGCATATTTACTAAGTGTCCTTCTGCTAGATTCCAGGGATTCAAGGACAAGAATACCAGAGTCTCTGCCCTCACTAAGCTTAGGGTGGCCAGGCGCAGTGGCTCATGCCTGTAATCCCAACACTTTGGGAGTCTGAGGCGGGAGGATCACTAGGTCAGGAGATCGAGACCATCCTGGCTAACAGGGTGAAACCCCGTCTCTACTAAAAATACAAAAAATTATCCGGGTGTGGTGGCGGGTGGCTGTAGTCCCAGCTACTCAGGAGGCTGAGGCAGGAGAATGGCATGAACCAAGGAGGCGGAGCTTGCAGTGAGCGGAGATGGAGCCACTGCACTCCAGCCTGGATAACAGAGCGAGACTCCGTCTCAAAAAAAAAAAAAAAAAAAAAAAAAAAAAAAGCTTAGGGTGAAGGAAGCAGATGATTAAACAGATAGACCTTTTGCAGTATGATGAGCACTGTGATGATGAAGCAGAAATTTGGAATGCTTCTGGGAAAATGTGACAGGAGCTTCTACCTTAGCCCAGGAAGCTCAGGGAAGCCTTCCCTGAAGAGGTGCCCTGGAAGCTGAGATCAGATCAAGCAACATCAATTTTTTTTCAAAGCCATCATGGGACTTGAGTTCTAACCTACTGATGGTCTACCTGCCCATGCACATTCTTTGGCCACACCTGGGATTCTGCTGAACCCTAAGTGACTTTGCAGAAATTCTTTACTCATTTGGAGGAAGCCCAGGGCATTGCAAGGAAAATAGATAAGGTTCATTAAAGCATTCAAAAAAATATGTTGTCATATTTATTATCACTTACTGGTGTAGTTCTCAAACTTGAGTGCACATCGCAGTCCCTGGAAGTCTTGTTGAAACACAGATTGATGGGCCTCATCCCCTGAGTTTCTGATTCAGGAAGTGTGTTAGTCCATTCCTATGCTGCTATGAAGAAATACCCAAGACGGGGTTATTCATAAAGAAAAGAGATTTAATTGACTCATAGTTCTGCATGGCTAGGGAGACCTCAGGAAACTTACAATCATGGCGGAAGGCAACTCTTCACAGGGTGGCAGTAGAGAAAATGAGTGCAAGCAGGGGAAATGCCAGACACTTATAAAACCATTAGATATTGTGAGATGCACTCACTATCACGAGAACAGCATGGAGAAAACCACCCCCGTGATTCAATTACTCTACCTGGTCCTGCCCTTGACACGTTGGGATTATGGAGATTACAATTCAAGGTGAGACTTGGGTGGGGACACAGAGCCAAACCATATCAGGAGGTCTGGGTAGGGCCTGAGAATTTGGTCAAGCAAGTTCTCAGGTGGTGTAGATGCTACGAGTTGGGAAACCACACTTTGAGAACCACTGACTTTGAGTGCTTGGCATTTGGGACATAGAGGTGGTTTTCTAATTCCCCTTAAAGCTGGTGGAGGGGAACAGAGAGAACAGAGCTAGGGACTGGAGCTCCCAGGCCCGTCCACTTGAGGCCCTCTCCAGCCTGGTTTCTCCTTCAGAGATTTTATAGCCAGCAGACCCCAAAGTACAACATCTAGCCTTGCTTTGGCATTTGTGTTCTAATGTGTAAATAAACTTGAAACTTTTCCTAATCTTCTGAGGAAAAAGTAGAGGGGTGTTTGCCAAGTACTGTGGTCTGAATGTTTATGTCCCCCAAAATTCATATTCTGAAATCCTGACCCCCATGGTAATGCTATTAGAAGGTGGAGCCCTCACAACTGGGATTAGTGCCTTATAAAAGAGGGCCCAGAGAGCTAGCTAGCCCCTTGTACCATGTGAGGACACAGCTAGAAGGCTCTACGTATGAAAAAGAAAATAGGCTTTTGCCAGACATCAAATCTGCTGGCACCTTGATCCTAGACTTCCCAGCATCCAGAACCATGAGAAATAAATTTAGTCTATGGTGTTTGTTACAGCAGCCCAGATGGACTAAGACTCCAAGCCAAATAAACAAGCTCCAAATGCACATTCTCATCTTGTCCTCTTGGGTAGTTTTCTCTCAGTTATTTTTTTCTCAGTCAGGGAATTGCCAAAGTCCATACTGATCCCCTACTGGGTCACACTCCTCAAATACCACTCTGGTCCAATGTGGCCTCTGGACTCTGATGACATCAGGATAAACCCACACAGGTATCTTGTAGTGAACAAAACCCCAGCCTTGCAATCGCATAATTCTCACTCTGAATTCCAGGACAACCGCTTAGCAAGGATCCTTTGTGGGAGCTACTTGAAAGCTCTTTGAGCCTTAGAATAGTGCAGGGAGGGGCAGCAATAGCTCCACAGGGTTGTTGGGATAATTACAGAAGACTATGAATGTCATACCTTTGGGTATAGTAGGTGCTCAGTAGGTTAGGGATGCTTACAACAGTCTGTCATTTAAAGTGGTCCTCGACATAGAATTGCTAGCTCCAGGCCCACCACCTTCTCCCATATTTCCCCAGGCCTCAAGGGTCCGCAATGGGTGATGGTGGGGTTATCCTGCCATGCCTACTATGCTTTCTTCCAGGACACAATTGCAGGCCCTTGACATCTTTTGCCTGGATTATTGCAACAGCCTCCAAAAGGACTCGTCTGTCTCCATGATACCCCTCCATCCTCCTCTGCATCATCACCAAGGGAATCTTTGTAAAGCAAAGGCATGATCATGCTTATCACCTGGTGGAAACCCTTCAGAGACTCTCCACTCCCCAGAGCAGGCACCACATCGTTAGAGTCTACAGAAGGCAGGAGGAAACAGAAATGAGTGCCGGGTCCATAGGTAGGCAATGGGGAGCAGTGGGGATTGCGGTGAAATGGAGATTGGCTGTCTAAAGGCATCCAAACTCAGAATTCTGTAAAACCTTCTATGGGCCAAATAAAGTTTGTCCTGAGATTCCATGCCTGGCCTTGAGTACCAGTGTGTGAGAGCTGGCCTGGCAAATGAGGTATAAGCTCCTTAGCCGGGCTAACCAGGTTCAGCCTCCTTCTTGCTGTGCCCCGCCTCACTTACAATTCATATAGCGACCAAACTGTCTGCAGTACCTCCACACCTGCCATGCTGGTCCTCAGCCATGTCCTTTGATCAAGTCTGGAAAGCCCTTCCCTTGCTCTTCACTTGGTGAATGAAGAAGTCCTGCTCATCCCTTTAAAACTCAGTTCAGGCAACACCTCCTCCAGGAAGCATTGTTTCGCACTTATTCTCAGGTTTTCCATATGGATATGTATCTTTTCCTAGTGTCCCAACAATATCTGTTGCCTTTCTTCATCATTATAATTATTAAGTGGCAATGGCAATATAATTATCTCTTTTGTTGCCTCTGTCTCCTCTGCTAAGGTGTAAGCACCTAATATCAGGGACCAAGTGTTAATGGCCTTTGTGTCTAGCAATAATGAGGTGTTCAATAATTGTTAAACGAATGAATGGAGAGGCAGGTCCCCCTGCCACCGCGCCTCCACTCTCCCATGAGGTAGGAAGCAATCTGAACAGTGAGTGGCACAGCAGCCACTTGGGAGAGGCATAAGACTGGTCACCTCTCTCTCCCTTTCCACCACAGGAATGTGTTGAGGACAGTACAAGCAACAAGAATTGGGGAACAAGAACGCCTTTGACTTCATCTCTCAGCTGTTACAAACTCTCCCCTATTGACGGTTCAAATTTCCAAGAGAGACTCTGATCATCCAGTGAAATCACCCAGGCTCCAGTGGGGCAGTGGACCACACAAGCTCTCCCCAGCTGCCTGCCAGACTTCCATTGGCTGCTTGTAGGCAGAGGCCCTTCTTTGCTCCAATGAGGACAGGTGCATCTGCCAGAAAACATGGCACCTTCTATGGATAGAAACTCTATCTTAGTCGGTTTGGGCTGCTATGACAAAATATCATAAACTGAGAGGCTTATAAACAACAAATATTTATTTCTCTCAGTTTTGGAAGCCGGGAAACCTAAAATCAAGGTGCTGGCAGATTCAGTGTCTGGTGAGAGCCCTTTCCTCATAGATGGCACCTTCTATACATCCTCACATGGCAGAAGAGGCAAAGATAGTCCCTTGGTCCTTTTTTTTTAATATAAAGATACTAATCTCATTTATGAAGACTCTGTCCTTGTGACCTAATCACTTCTAAAAGGCCCCATCTGCTAATACCATCACATTGGGGATTAGGAGTTCAACATATGAATTTTAACCAGGGGAGGACACAAACATTTATATCATAATAATCTCTAGGAAGGTCTTTGACTGGCAAGTGTTACGCAGCCTGGGTGGTGTAGGACTTAGGGCCAAGATTAGGTAAGCTGAGTGAGGGGTCTTGGGTGCAGAGTTTAAGGAGGGGTCCTCTTAGAGTCATGTAGGTGCCTCATTTGCCTCATCCTAATTTCACCCCTAACGGCTAATTTCGTGCATGACTTGAAGGCAGTCACTGTCTCTCTGACCATTAGTTTCTTAACCTGTAAAATGAAGTGGTCAGAAGACTATAAGTCCTGTTAGGTTCTCTGGGTTTGAAACTGCTGCATTGTTCCATAGCTCCTGAGACACAGCTCACCCTCTCCAACCTACCCACTGGACTTTTCCCCCTTTGTCTTAGGGGGGCTGCTCATCTGTGTAGTTAGTTTCCCCAGTCATGCCTGGCTTCACTGTCAAGGGCTCAGTTCACAAGCCACTTAGCAAAGGCAGTCATGAAAGAACAACATAGCGTCTGTTCTGGGCCTTCGCGGAGGACGTGCTCACATTCCTCCCCTCAAAGCAAAATTGATCGGCCATGACCTGGGGCCGCACCAAAGAGAAGGAATCGCTGGGGGCCGGGGTGCCATTCGGTGCCCAGATGAGGTCAGTCACCACATGGTCCTCAGTAGCCTCGAGGAATGAGAGATATTTGACTCCCCTATTAATCACCTGGAAGAGTTATGAATATCTTGGGTCAAAGTGACAGTTTGCCTCTTGACAGGAAAGAGGCCTAAGTTCTGACTCCCACTTAGAAAAAGTTCATGTAGTTTTGTTCCTCCAAGATAGAAACAGAGGACCATAGATATGGGGAAGGGGAGAAATTGAGAAGGAGCGAGAAGGCGAGAGGGTGTTGTTTATCCAGTTCAATCTCAGATCCCACACTTGAGCCTAAGCTCAAAGGGTTCAGTCAGTCATCCTGAATATGGAGACTTCTCCAAGGGGAGCTCTTTTGATTGTTGGGTAACAAAAATTATTAGAAATATTTTATTTTTATGTATTATATCTATAAATATAAATCTATATAAATACAGATGTGATATATAATATAAATATGTTAGTCAGTGTGAATGAGGAACAGGTCAATTTCTCCTCCAAATAGTTGCCCTTAAAATCTTTGAAGACATTATCATATTCCTCCTGAATTTCTTATTCCCCATACCAAAAAAAAAAAAAATCCCACAAGGTCAGGAGCTTGAGACCAGCCTGGCCAACATGGTGAAACCCTGTTTCTACTAAAGAATACACAAAAATCAGCCAGGCATGGTGGTGTGCACCTGTAATCCCAGCTACTCAGGAGGCTGAGGCAGAAGAATTGCTTGAACCTAAGAGGCGGAGGTTGCAGTGAGCCAAGATTGTGCCACTGCACTCCAGCCTGGGCGACACAGTAAGACTCTGTCTCAAAAAAAAAAAAAAAAAAAAAAAGACTTGTAATATAAGGAAGGGGCCAGGTATGGTGTCTCACACCTGTAATCCCAGCACTTTGGGAGGCCAAGGTGAGCAGCTCAGTTGAGGCCAGGAGTTCAAGATCAGCTTGGCCAACCTGGTGAAACCCTGTCTCTACTAAAAATACAAAACTTAGCTAGGTGTGGTGGTGCACACCTGTAATCCCAGCTACTTGGGAGGCTGAGGCATGAGAATTGCTTGAACCCGGAGGCAGAGGTTGCAGTGAGCCAAGATGTCACCACCACACTCCAGCCTGGGTGACAGAGCGAGACAAGTCTTCCAGGCAATCCCAACCCCTCTGTTTCACCTGGTCCCCTTCTTCTGGAATCACAATGTATCAGTGACCTTCATATGGTGTTGGTCCAGAACCATACATGGTTATGCAAGCATGGAGAACAGAGCAATCATCTCTGCTTGCAGATGCCATTGGGTGATGAGAGAGCCAGAACAGAGTCCCATTCTGCTGATCCCCAGGCACCTGGGATGATGGAGAAAACACCAATAAGCCAGCAAGAGAAGTGACTAGCCTTCCCAACATGCAAACACTATGTGTGGAATTTACCATGTTTGTATCATCATTCAGGGACCACAGACCATGCATCTAAACACCACCAGTACGTCCATAGATGCAGAAGCACTGACCAAATGGATGTACTATCCCCTGACTCAAACCAGTGAAAATTACATGGCCAATCTTTTAAAAAGCAAGTAGTGGGCCAGGCATGGCAGCTTACTCCTGTAATCCCAGCACTTTGGGACGCCGAAGCAGGTGGATCACGAGGTCAGAAGTTCAAGACCAGCCTGGACAACATGGTGAAACCCTGTTTCAACTAAAAATGCAAAAATTAGTCGGGTGTGGTGGTGGGTGCCTGTAATCTTAGCTACTCGGGAGGCTGAGGCAGGAGAATCGCTTGAACCTGGGAGGCGGAGCTTGCAGTGAGCCAAGATCTCACCATTGCACTCCAGCCTGGGCGACAAGAGCGAGACTCCATCTCAAAAAAGAAAAAAGAAAAAAAGCAAGTAGTTAGTAGCGTAGGGGGAAAGTCCTGGATAAGAACTCATGCCTCTTTGATTTATACCTGTGTTGCCTAAACTGTCTTCCTTTCCTTGATGACTAATATATATGTTAGCTGCTCAGCTTTTCTTTATACTACATTTTCAGGAGATGCACACTCTTCCCTGACTTCCCTTAGCCTAAAGTTCTGGAATAATTATCCCTTCATTTCATGTGATACCAGATTTTGCATACTTCTTTTAGTGATCCAATGATTCCCTCTTTAAGATATATATTAGTTCTATAAACATTACACAATATTGCTATGGAAATGGAAAAAGACTGTTCTTAACTTGTCCCAATAGTTTCAGCTCTCAAACTATTTATTTGACGTCTCCTGAACTTTTATCCTAAACCTATATCTGAAGCTTATATCCAAAATTGTCAGCTACCCCTATCCAAAGGGACCTCTCCCTTGGGGATCCCACAGGTACCTGAAATTCATCATCTCCCCTCCCCTATCCATTCCTCGAATTATTTGCCACAATCAATGGTCTTACGACCACTGCTGATCATAGCACTGGACAGTTGAAGGAGAAAATTCACATTCCTTGAGCATCTACCATGAAGGTTAACAACCCTGCAGTGAAAATATCATCCTTAGTTCACAAATAAGAAAACAGGGGCAGATTCTCTCATGCCCCACATCTAATTCTCCAACAAATGCAGTGGGAACTCATACAACTCAATAGCAAAAATACAAATAACCTGATAAAAAAAACCAACAAAAACCTAATAGAGATTTTTCCAAAGAAGATCTACAGATGTACAACAGGTGTATAAAGGTGCTCAACATAACTAATTATAAGGGAAATACAAATCAAAACCACAATGGGACATTAACTGGAATTTGTTAGGATGGCAATTATAAAAAAAGACAAGAGTTAACAAGTGTTGTTGGCAAGATTGTGGAGAAAAGGGAACCCTTGTATATTGTTGATGGGAATGCAAATTGGTATAGCCACTATAGAAAAGAGTATAGAGGTTCCTCAAAAAATTAAAAATAGAATTAGCATATGATGCAGCCATCTCATTCTAGGTATATATCTAAAGGAAATAAAATCACTATCTCAAAGAGGTATCTGCACTTCCACATTCATTCCAGCATTATTCACAAGAGCCAAGATACGGAAACAACCTTAATGTCTGTCAATAGATGATGGATTAAAAAAAGACATGCTATACAAATTTATACAATGCGATGTTACTAAGCCATAGAAAGAAGGAAATCCTGCTATTTGTGACAACATGGATAAATGTTGAGGATAATATGCTAAGTGAAATGAATCAAACACATAAAGACAGATATTATGTGTTCTCACTTATATGTGGAATCTAAAAAATTGACCTCTTAGATGTAGTGAGAAGAATGATCACTGCCAAGGCCTGAAGGGCGTGAGGGAAATAGGGAGACATTTGTCAAAAGGTACAAACATTTAGTTATAAGATGAATACGTTCTGGGGATCTCATGAATACCACAGTGACTACAGTTGATGATACTGCATTGCATACTTGAAATTTGCTAAGAGGATAGATCTGAGGTATTCTCACCACACACACACACACAAACAGTAACTACGTGAAGTGATGGATATGTTAATTACCTTGATTGTAATAATCATTTCATGATATATATTAATACATACATCACATCATCACTGTGTACACCTTAGATTTATACGATTTTTATTTGTCAAACATACCTCCATAAAACTGGGGAAAAATACAAACAGAAAACCAAATGCAATGAACTCCACTTTCCAAGTGCATCTAGAATTTGTGTGCATCTTCCACATTTCCAGCATAGCCACCTTGGTTCTGGCACCGTCACCTCTTGCTGCAGTCATTGCAATCACTCTCCCACAGCTTTGTCTGCTCCCATCATTGTTCCTCTAAAAGCTCAACTTTGCAGAGCCCCAGAGAGAAGTTTTCAGGGGATTTAAATCAACTCTGAACTGGATTTCCATCTTATTTAAAGCAATGTCCTTTCCACCGGACTCAAGGCCCTGCATGATCTGCCTCTAGTTGTCTTGGAGCTCATCTCCAATTGCTCCTTCTCCTGCCTCCTGGTGCTGCCTCAGACTCTCCAAAGTGCTCTTGCCTAAGGGCACTTGCACCTTGCTTCTCTTCTTCACCTGGAACACACTTCCCTCAGACAGCCACATGGCTTGCTCCCTCATTTAATCCCCCTGCTCAAACTGTGGTCATTCCCCTGACCACACTCTACATAAATTGTCTATCCTCTCCTTTCCTTCCCTCCTCATCTCCCCACTGAATTTTCCTCCACGACACATCAACAGCTGACATATGTAGTACATTTTTGTTTGTTGTTCAGCTCCCCTCATCAGAATGTAAACCTCATAAGCTTATAGTCTAGTGAAAAAATCTGTTTCATGTGACAACTAGTAGGTGCTCAATAAATAGTCAATGAATGAATGCATAGGAGGCAACTGGAAAAGCAGGGAGTGTCCAAAATAGTATGGGATTCAGAGACCATTTCCAATAACAATTATTGGAGGGAAATTCGACTTGGAAGGCAGCACTAATTTGTAGAACAAGGAAGGGAGTCATGAGGACTGACTTCAACTGCTTGAAGAGCTGACATACGGAGTAGGAGCAGACTCACTCTGCATTTTTCATAAAGTAAAACTCCTAAGTAGTTTTCCAGGCCAACAAAGTGGGTGTGGCAGGCATTCAAGACACAGAGAATCATATGAGCCCTGCGTCGAGGCTGAGATTTGGAAAGACGTGGCTTGTATGTTAAATACCAAATTAGTCATATGCAGCTGGAGGGGAGTGGTGGTCCATGAGGTCAGAAAGATAAACTGGATGGGCTTTTATTGCATTCATTTATTAATTCATGAAAGTATCAAATGCTCTACATTTAATTAGCACATATTATCTCCCAGGCTCTGTGCTAGGTCCTGGGGATATAAAGCCTGTAATTTAGAAATCCTGTCATTGAAAGATAAGAATGAACATTTGTCAAGGCCTTAAAGGTCTCTGTATATAATAGGTACTCAAAAAAAAAAAAACTGGATCCCTGAATGCTGGTGTCTGAGTCCATTTGGCTACTATAACAAAATACCTTAGACTAGGTAATTTATAAACAATAGAAATTCATTACTCACAGTTCTAGCAAATGGAAAGTCCCAGATCACGGACTTTATAAAGGTGTCAGCAATTCAATGTCTGGTGAGAGCTCTCCACTTCATAGATTCATAGGGAGCTTCATAGCGCTCTCTACTTCATAGATTGCACCCTCTTACTGGGTCATCACATGGTGGTGGAAAACAAGCCTCTTTCTATGAGGCCATTAATCCCATTGATGAGAGCAGAGTCGTCATGACCCTATCACCTCCCAAAGGCCCTGCATCTTAATACTATCACCTTAGGAGTTAAGTTTCAACCTATGAATTTTTGGGGTGGAGGGCACGCCAACATTCGAAGTATAGCAGGAGGCTATGTTTTTCTAGTTAATAATCATATTAATCCTATGAGGCAAATATAATTATGCCTGTTTTAGAGGTAAGGAAACTAAGATTTAGTTTTCTGACTTCATATAACTCATATGATTCTGGGCCATGCTATAAATCTAGCTCTGTCTCACATCAAAGTTTTTGGGTTTTTCCCCGCCCCACTATGTCCTCTTGTCTCCTCAAAACAGCTCAAACTCTTAGAAATAACTTCCTAGACCAGAGAAGTAAAAACAGGAGGGATGGATCCACTCTACTCATACAGGAAGGTTTTGAGTGGGAGCCTTAAAGGATGAGTCTCTTTAATCTCCCTGGCCCAGTAGTTACCAGAATTGCCTTGCTATCAATCCCTGGGGAGCAATAGGCACTGTTGTTAAGTGTGCCAGCCTTGGGTTGCACAGTCTGGAATTTGAATACGAGTTTTCCCCTTGATTAGCTATATGACCCTGGGCATATCACTTAATCTTGTTAAACCTCAATCTTCTCATTCTTAAAATGAGGACTAAAAATTATACCTCTGGGGTGCCCCTGTGGCTCACATTTGTAATTTGAGCACTTTGGGAGGCCAAGACAGGAGGATTGCTTGAGCCCAGGAATTCAAGGCTACAGTGAGCCATTACTGCACTCTAGCCTGGGCAACAGAGCAAGACTCTATCTCAAAAAAAAAAAAATTACACCTCTAATAGAAGATCACTATGAAATTAAATTGGATAAATCATGCAGAATATGTAGCAAAATTTCTGGCACAAAATAAATGATCAATGACTCTTAGCCATGGGATGAAGAAGATAATGGTGATGAGGATATTCTGGCTCCAGGTGACAAAGTCAAGGACATGTCTGGCTGATAAAGTCAGTTTAGCAGCTTCCATTAAGAAGTTATTCAGAAAAAAAGCTGGGACCCTGTCCTTTACAATCCCACAGTGAAATGTACTGTACTTAAGGAAGGGCAAGGAGGAAGGAGAAGTTCCTATCCACACCACAAAGCTAAAAAACCCAAGAAGAGTTTGGTTTTGCTCTGTTCTCAGTCCTTTTTAACTGAGTTTTCCTTTTTAAAAAAATACTATGGCCTTTGCCTGAGGCCTAATCAGGATGCCTATAAATGTGCATATTTATGGATGTTAGTATAATACACCTTAAAAAGTTCCCTTTGCTTTCAGATGCTGGTCTGCATTTTGTGCATGTCTCAGCTATGTGCTGGGTGGCTGCTACAATATTTCTGCTGAGGCAGGCAGAGTACACCCACCCAAATGCATTTCATCTAAATGTAGTTTGGTCTGGGACATCTTGGTAATCAGGGAAGACAAAGCAGATTAAAATCATGTGAGAGGCCACTTTCCCAGCGAGCTCAAACATGCTCTGCTGATAGAAACCACTCCACACAGGGCATGGGGGTGTGACTTTGTGGGGAAGAGGGGGAGGTGGAAGGATTGGGGTCAGGTTGTGACAAGGAGATGAAGGTTTGTTCCAGCCAAGGGGTCTGTCTGGGATGCCAGCCATGAGGAAAGCAAGCTTCAGCACAGATGTCTGTGATGTGGAGTAACCCCACGTATATTTCAAAACAGATTTCCTGGGGGAAATTTTTTGGGAATTCACAATATGTTGTTAAAACCAGGCAATCCTTTGAGGTTTGTTATTCTTCTTCTAGGACTCTGTAATATTCACCGGCAGGAAAACCCAAGGGAATGACTACTATGACATCTGATGGTGAGAAGGCGGCGTTGGTTGAGGGGAGTGAATGGGTTATATCTATTGAAAATCTACTATGGGTTTTTCTTCTTTTTTCTCTGATTATCACAGAAGAGGTTACTAAGTTTCAGAAAGAAGCAGGAATTAGTGCTTGGAGACCCAAACATCCTAGAAGGACCCTGGAGATCCTTTGTGAAGTTGAGAAGGAGGGAGATTATTGTTTAAGGTAGCTTCTGAGTTGTGCGCCAGGCATTGGAAACTAAGCCAAGGACACAGCCAGCCAGTGAGCAAGGCCTTCTCCAGATCATTCCGGGGAGTTCTGCTCCAGTTTAGAGGGCTGTTCCAGGTTCCCTCAGTGGTGATTTTGGAGGCTTCAAAGGACTTCCCAGTAGAGATGAGCAAAGAGAGGTCATCCCCATTCCCTTGAAACTGATTCAGCCAAGCCTTTCATGTCAACCTTCTGCACCAGTTGAGCAAAGCAGTAATCACACCCATTCAAGTCTTCTAAAGGGAAAGAAATCACCATCACTTGTCCTTATTCTGTTGCACTGGAAATAGATTTGTCAGATAAGATATAGGATACCCAGTTAAATTTGAATTTCAGATAAATGATAAAACTTTTTTGGAATAAGTGTGTCCCACATGTTGCATGGGACACACAAACTTGATCTGAAATTCAAATGTGACCAGATGTCCTGTACTTTTATTTGCCAAATCTGACAATTCCTTCCACAAGTCACTAGAAACATCTCATAATTGTGCCCCCCTGCAGGTGGTAAGAGGTACCATGTCATAGCACAACCTGCAAAAAGTGGTTAATGATAGAACATGCCACTGAGGGGTAGTGAGCCTCTTGTCACAGAGAGCTTACCTGGCTGTTTTCATACCTTCCCTGCACTTTTAATCCCTCACTCCTCAGCTCCTAGGGATAAGGAGCATGAATCCTGAGGCAGGTTGCTTGGATATGAACGCTGGTTAGCTGATGGCCTTACATTAAGTAATATAACCTCTCTGTGTTTTCTAGTTTGCTCGTCTGTAAAATGGGGGCAAGAGTAGCAATTACCTTGTAAAGTTGTTCTGAAGCTTCAAAGTGCTTAGTTCAGTGCTTGGCCCATGGGGAAGGAAGAAAAGACATTAATTATTACTGTTATTATTCCCTGGTACCTATATACAAAAGGAGTTGGGCTATTGAGAATCATGTAATCATGTCAAAGCTGGGGCAGAATTTAAGGTCTCAGAAGCCATTGCTGAACCACTGCCACTCAGAGAAGAAAAATATTTTGGGAGCATTTAGAGGAACTCTCTTGTTTTAGAAATGAAAACTCAAGCCAGAAAGGCCAAATGGCTCGCTCCAAACTTCACAGGTGGTTGAGAATAAGATCTTGGGGTAGAACAGCAGATACAGATAAAATAACCCAAAGGAATGGTGGAGAGCCTTTTGCTAGGACTCAGTAATTTAAATTACAGAATTACAGGATTTTAGAGCTACCAGAAGTGGGCAAGACAGCATTTGCCCCAGGGCCGGCCTAAAGCAAGACACAGACATAGGAGTCAAATGTTCTTGGGGTTCTAGTCCCAGTTCTGCCCTGGTGTTTCTTACACATCTTTTGGCAAGTCCTTACCTTCCCTAGCCTTCAGTTTCCCATCTGTACAACGGAGATAATCATCTGAGCTCTGTCTGCTTCCTCTGGCTATTGCGAAAGCTTTGGAAGGAATGACACCTCGGCTGCCTCCCAGGAACTAACCATCCCACTCTGCCCTTTTGGCCTCTCCCCAGCTTGTCAGAGTGCTGCCTTCCTTCACGTCCTTGGCTTCCAGCCCTCACAGGCATGAGATATCTGGGCCCCAACTGACTGATGACCAGCAGATTCTAGTATGTGGGGTGAGGGTGGGGAAGGTTCATTCTTGCTTGACTGGCCTGCATTGCCCATCAGCCTAGATTCAAGCCATGCAAAGAAGGCCTCTGAGCTCAGCTCTCAACTGATGCTTTTTGAATTGAGCAGAGTGACCTTGCTGAAAAGTAAGTCTGATCATGACACTCACCAACTTAACCCTTGCCTACAGGTGTTAACCTGGTCCCCCATCTGCGTTACCACTTACTATCTCTCACTCAGACTAATAGACCTCAGCTTTTCTGTGCCCACTACCCCTGCTCAAATCCATTATTTGCATAGTCACCAAGAGAGCCGTCTAAAATAAAAATCCAATTAGGCTGCCTCCCCTCTTAAAACCCATTATTCACTGCAGGGATTCTTTTCTTGTCTTTTCTTTTTTGAAACAGAGTCTCACGGTGTTGCCCAGGCTGAATACAATCGTGCAATCATGACTCTCTGCAGACTTGACATCCTGGGCTCATCAAGCAATCCTCCTGCCTCAGCCTCCCGAATAGCTGAGACTACAGGCACCCACCACCACATCACACTCTACAAAAAATTTCTGTTTTTTTGTAGAGATGGGGTCTTGCTATATTGCCCAGGGTGGTCTCAAACTCCTGACTTCAAGTAATCCTCCTGCCTTGGCCTCCCAAGGTGCTGGGATTACAGGTGTGACCCACCACACCTGGCCAACTGCAGGGATTCTTTATTTGAAGATCATGGATAGGTTTCAGGAAATATGTGAACACTCTGAAATGTATACCCTAGTTCTGTTTGTGTGAGTATTAACTTTGATCAGATTTTCAGAGAGGTCTGTGACCAACTTCCTGCACTAAAAAATGTTTACAAACCACTGCTCCACAGGATAAAGTTCAAACCTCTCAGTCTAAAGGAAATACAAAGCCATTCATGACACAGTTTTTACATACACCATCTTCATTTTGGATTTCTCAGCCCCAATTGCTTGAACATGTCTTGCCGTTTCTTATCTCCTTGCCTTTGCTCAAGCTGTGTCCTCTGTCTTGAAGATCCTCTTTTTCTCATTCTTTCCAGGGATCTCCCTCCCTTGGTTAAGTCCCAGTTAACTAGTATAACTTCATTCAAGAGTTTCTTCTTCCAGGAGCTTCCCAATATGATTTGGCTGTGGGCCCCACCCAAATCTCATGTTGAATTGTGATCCCCAGAGTTGGAGGTAGACGTGGTGGGAGATGGTTGGATCATGGGGGTGGTTTCTAATGGTTTAACACTGTCTCCTAGTGTTGTTTTGTGACAGAGTTCTCACAAGATCTTGTTGTTTGAAAGTGTGTAACACCTCCTACTTCGTGCACTTTCTCTTTTCCCTTCTTCACCATGTGAAGATGTGCCTGCTTCTCCTTCACCTTCTGCCATAATTGAATGTTTCCTGAGGCCTCCCCAGCCATGCTTCCTGTATAGCCTGCAGAACGGTGAGCCAATTAAACCCATTTTCTTTATAAATTACCCAGTCTCAAGTATTTCTTTATAGCAATGTGAGAATGAACTAATACACTTCCTCTGACCCTCTCCTCCACACCCATGCTGGGGAGATGTTCTTCCGTGGGATCCCACAATCGACATCCATCTGGCTCTCTAGAATTGCACTGTTCATGTAGTGCTCACAGAGATGAAAGCTCTTTGAGAACAAGACCACACATTATCGCTTTCTTCCTCTCCTTTTCTCAAGCAGTGGTTCTTGGGGACTGCAGCATCTCACCTTCATAGAAACTCAACACTCAGACCTCACCCCAGACCTACTGAATCAGAAACTCTGAGGTTGGGGCCAGTGAGCTGTGCTTTAACAAGCCCTGCAGGTGATCCTGATGCCCGCTGAAGCCTGGGAACCATAGTCCTGAAAAAACGTCCCTGGCTCTTGTCTGTTCTGTTGTGATAGCTCCTAACTGGGCTTCCTGCTTCCTCCTCTGTCACCTTCCAATCTATTCTTCATCCTAGAGCCAGAATTATCTTTCTACAACATGGAAGGAAGGGCCCTCCTCAAGAGCCTTCAGTGGCTTCCATTTGCACCTATAATTAAATCCTGATCCCTCACCATGACCTACAGGACCCTGTGTGACCTGGCCCTGCATCTCTCCTATGCTGACCCCCTACCACCAGGCACGATGGTCTGCTTTCAGCTTCTGAGGTCAACCATCCCTTCTTGCCTCAGGCCATGTGCTGGGATGGGGAGAGGAATATGGGTGAGTCATCTTCTCCATCCTTGAGGAGGTATAGTCAACTAGGGGAGACAGATATGGACACAAATAGACATGCAGTTCATAGAAAGCAAAGTAGCAGGGCTGTGCATATGGTACAGAAACAGCAAAGACTCATTCTGTTTAGGGACTTTTGTTTTGCAG
Source organism: Homo sapiens (assembly GCF_000001405.40). Classification (NCBI taxonomy): domain Eukaryota; kingdom Metazoa; phylum Chordata; class Mammalia; order Primates; family Hominidae; genus Homo; species Homo sapiens. Next base: position 59,046,459 of record NC_000001.11, read on the forward strand.
TGATTTCCAACTCTGCTTCTAAAGTTTGAAGGTGTAGTTTTTCTTATTCGAACATTCCAATACTAGGCATTCCATTGCCCTGAGCCTCAGTCCTGCTACTGCCATTCAGAAGCTATGCCCACCGTGCAGGGGCATTGGAGGGAGTACACGAGGATATACATCAAACGTGCCAAGCGGAGGGCAGGGTCTCTGCAGGGATCAGGGACTCCCATGTTTCTGGAGCAGATTCAAGTTTTGATGTTGTGGGGACTTACCCTTCCTGAGCTTCAGTGGGAAACTAAGTATCCCCTGAAAAAACTGAGGTGTTAAGGAGGAGGCTTGAGGTTGGGCCTACAGCAAAAGAAAAGTTCCCCTCCACTTTAAGAAATCTCCCTCCTGTGGGTGTGGTAGTGAATGTGAAAGTAGAATCTGCCTCCTGGCCCCTGCACTTACCAGAAGGGGCAGTGGTACTTGCAAAGGAGTTACAGAAAGAGCAGCAGCTGAACAGGAACTGGGGCCACCGGTTCTGGGAAGCTGGGGCTTTGGGGGAAGCGCCTGGCAGACCCCAGTGTTTACAAACTTCAGGAGCACCTGAACCCCAGCCTGTGTTAGGCACAGAGCAAATTGTGGTGAGCTACTGGCACAAGTCCTCTGGAGCCAGAAAGTCAAGACAGAAAGCCAGGATGACTCCTCTAGGGCCCAGGGCTCACAGTTCCCTGGACAAACAGCCTCACTGTGGCCTCTGGGAAAAGGTGGGAGGCAGAGCAGGCTGGTGGGTTAGATATTCATTCATTCATTCCCAATTTCCTCATCTGTGAAATGGGGAAAGAAATTCCTTCCACGTCTACTTGGATTGTATATAGTGGGGAAGGGTAGAGAACAGGTTGCTATGGAGACCAAATGAGATAATACATTCAGTTATTCATTTAATATACACTAAGCACCTGCTACGATAAAAATAATAATGGGCACTTATTGAGTACCTAGTGTATGCCAGGCACTATGCTAACTACTTTAATCCTCACAATCATCCTCCGAGGTAGCTGCCCTGATTTCCATTTACAGATGAGGAAACTGAGGCTCAGAGAGATGACTTGCCCAGATCACACAGCTAGTCAGTGGTGGATCTGGGATTTGAGAGCCACAGTGTTAAATGGGGCTCAAGTCTCAGCTCCTGTACTAGAGTCAGGGATCTGCAAGGTCAGGAATTATCATTTATCAATCTCTGAATCTTCGGTGCTTAGGCCACGGCCCAGCACATAACAGCTGCTCACTAAATGTGGGTAGGCCTCTTGCATATCTACAAGACAAGGTGAGATGAAACAGTCTGGTGGGGAAGTCAGGGAAGCAAACCAGCAGCAGGTAATGTAACAGGATCTATAGCAGATGTGCCTTCAGAGAGCTCCCTGAGGTTTGTGCTGGGTCACACTGTGTACCAATCAGGGTCCCAACAGTCTGACAGCTCCCAGGAAATAGCAGATTTCAAGGAGGGATTATATGCAAAGGTGCAGATATAGAAGAATCACAAAAGAGAGAGTAGGCACTTAATAGCTCCTGAACTGTTCTCACAACTCTTAATAGCTGCTGAACTGTCCTGCAGAGTTGCTTTCCTCAGGAGGAGCAGTGAGGAACATGGCCAGTTCAGTGACGTTGCAAACAGTGTATCAAAGGAATATCATACTCTCTCCCTTCCTCTTTTCCCTCCCTCTGGTCTCCTGTGGCTCCCTGTTGGCCAAACCCAACTAGAAACAGAAGGTTCAAGAACCCACCAATTCAATCCCCATAGATCAACCTCTTGAATACAGAGCAGATGAGGAAAGGTAATGTATGGATCTAGAGGGGCAAATGAAAGGTATTCTGCATGGACCGTGATATAGTGTGGATGTGTGTCCCTACCCAAATTTCACGTTGAAATGTATCCCCTATGTTGGAGGTGGGGCCTGGTTGGAGGTGACTGGATCATGGGGGTGGATTTATCATAAATGATTTAGTACCATACCCTTAGTTCTGTCCTCATGATAGTGAGTTTTCGCATCTTGTGAGAGATGTCATTTAAAAGTGTGTGGCATGCTCCCCACTCCCTCTCTTGCTCCTGTTCTGGCTATGTGTTGTGCCTGCTCCCCCTTCACCTTCCACCATGATTGTAAGTTTCCTGAGGCCTCCCCAGAAGCCAAGTAGATGCCAGCATCATACTCTCTTTACAGCCTATGGAATCGTGAACCAGTTAAACCTCTTTTCTGTATAAATTACCCATCCACAGGCATTTCTTTACAGCAATGTGAGAATGGCCTAATATGGACTGGAAGGATATGCAGACTTTTCCTGGAAAGCAGAGTTGAGGAAGGACATCCCATCGAGGGAAAGAATGTGCAATCTTTTTGTGTGGAACGCTCAGAACATTCTAAGTACTTTGGCATAGCAAAGGCATAGGGAATGAGAGACAGCATGGTAGGAAATAAAAATGTGTTCAGAGAGTGGCAGGGGCTGGCTCATGGACAGCTAAGGCAGGGAGCACTATTCTGCAGGCACAGGGGACCATGAAGGGCAGTTAAGTATGGACTTCCTATGACTGCAGAGTGGGTAACGATTCGAGGAAAGGGAAGGGGTCTAGAGGCAGGGGTCTCCTTGGGAGGCACTGCAACCATCCTACAGAGATGAGGGTGAGGGTCGGAAGAAGCAGAAGCCTACCCTCTCTTAAGCAAGATGAAGACAAACGAGACCCGTGGACTCCATGGAGGCTGGATCTACATCACCATAGTGCCATTGCCTTCCTTCAAGGGCAAGTGAGGAACAGGTATGGCTGCTGGTCAGCCCTTGCACTGGGCTAGTGCTCAAGACCAGAGTGAGGTCTTAGTGTCCTGGGGAGAGTTCTGGATTAGGTTTCTTTTTGGGTGGAGGGAGGTTGTGAAGGGGACTTTGGGAGAGATTGCAAATCTGTAAATGGGCAAGGCTGCCTTGACCACTGAGAGAGGAAGAGAAGGATACAGGAGATCAGAAGATTAGAAGGAGCTGCCTTTGTTCTTAGAATATGTGGGAGGCCATGCTCAAGAGAAGAAATGGATGCCGAGAAGGGAATGTGTGTGCATCTGACACTAGGAAACAAATTGGAAGAAAATTGGTAGATTGCTTTGATTTTTTTTTTTCTTTTGCTAGTGTTAAAAATCATGGAGAACTGGGAGAGAAGGAGGGGAGTAGGGGAGACTGGGAGGATCAGAAGCAAACACTTCTGAGGTAATAAACAACCTGAAACGCAGAGAGGCTGGGAGAATAAGCAAAGATGAAGGTGTCTGCATTCAGAGCACATCACAGAAGGGCTGATGTTTTAGAGGTGAAGCATTTTTTTAGCTTCCAGGGATTATTTTGGGGGTTATGGTTTTTTCCAACATTGAAGTATAATAATGTCTGAATTTCTTGCAATAAGTTAGGTAACAAGTAATAACACGGGAGGTGGAATAGAAAAAGTAATACTTTACTTTAGTACAGCAACAGAACAACACCTTACATTGGGGCAGATTAGAACTGGGGCGAGGCTTGCAGATCTTACTTCTCCTTCTAAGTGGGGAAACTGAGGTCCAGTGAACGGGAAGTATCTTGCCCCAAATTATATATATACACTCCCACCTTCATTTGACCCTCATAAAGTATTTGGTTGGTACAAAGGTAATTGCAATTTTTGCCATCACTTTCAATGACAAAAACCACAATTACTTTTGTGCCAACCTAATATTTTAGACCAATATGGAGAGGAGACAGTATAGCGGAGGGGTTGGCAAACTTTTTCTCTAAAAAGACAGATAGCAAATATTTTGGGCTTTGGTGGGGGGGGTCACATATGATCAGTGTTGCATATTCTTTTTTAAAAAAAAAATCCTTTAAAAGCGTAAGAGCCATTTTCAGCTCACCAGCCATACAAAAATCAGGCCATGCAAAAACAGGCTGTCCAAAGAAAAACATGGTATTGAATTTTGACCTGGGTTTGAATTTTGCTTCTGCTGTGAACAGGTCATGTAACTTTTGGCAAGTTAATTAGACTTATTTTCCTTCTCTGTTAAATGACCACATCTACCTCACCAGGCTCCTAGGAAGACAGAAAGAGACATGTCTGGTCTCAAATCCTAGCTCTGCCATTTGTTTTCAGTGTGACTCTCGCTAATTAAACTCTCTGTCTCTCAGTTCCTTCATCTGCAAAATAAAGATAATAGTAGTACCAACTTTATATGACTGATATGTGGATGAAATGACCTATGTGTAAAACTCATAGAATAGTTTCTGCCATGTATAAGTGTTTTTTGTTTTTGTTTGTTTGTTTGTTTTGAGACAGAGTCTCGCACTGTTGCCTGGGCTGGAGTGCAATGGCATGATTTCGGCTCACTGCAACCTCTGCCTCCCAGGTTCAAGCGATTCTCCTGCCTCAGCCTCCCAAGTAGCTGGGATTACAGACATTCACCACCACGCCCAGCTAATTTTTTGTATTTTTAGTAGATATGGAGTTTCCCTATGTTAGCCAGGCTGGTCTCGAACTTCTGACCTCGTGATCCGCCCACCTTGGCCTCCCAAAGTGCCGGGTTTACAGGCGTGAGCCACCGCACCCAGCCGCCATGCATAAGTTTTACATAGTAATAAGTATTTCTTTTGTACCAGGTACGTTATATGTTCATATAACATTATTAGTATAACATAATATTTATATTATATTAAACACATATTTATATTGACATATTAATATATGACATTATTATAGGACATATAATACATAATAAATATATACAAATATTTATATATGGTATATATGGTAAATATATACTTCTATATTTATTAGGAGCAGTGAGGAACATGGCCAGTTCATCAAATTACCAATATTTGATCAATTTTGACCTACAAAAATGGGAACTTCAATATATATTATAATATATACAATATATTATATAGTATAATCAACACATTATATATTAATATATAATTAAATATAATATATAACACATTATATAATTAATATAAAATATATTGATTATAATATATAATGCATTGTATATCTTACAATGTATTTATATTAATATTATATCAATATAAATATAAGTGGATATTTATATTAATATTATATTAATATAATTATATTTATATAATATAAAATATATATTATATATTATATAATTATTATATATAATATATAATATATATTATATATAATAATTATATAATATATTATAATATATTTATATTAATATATTAATATAAATATAAGTGGATATTTATATTAATATAAATATATGTGGATATTAATATTATATAAACACATAAAGTACCTGGTGCAAGACAGATACTTGGCAAATAGTAGCTAACTGCCGGGCGCAGTGGCTCACGCCTGTAATCCCAGCACTTTGGGAGGCCGAGGTAGGCAGATCACCTGAGGTCAGGAGTTCGAGACCAGCCTCAACATGGAGAAACCCCATCTCTACTAAAAATACAAAATTAGCCAGGCGTGGTGGTGCATGCCTGTAATCCCAGCTACTCAGGAGGTTGAGGTAGGAGAATTGCTTGAACCTGGGAGGTGGAGGTTGCGGTGAGCCGAGATCACGCCATTGCACTCCAGCCTGGGCAAGAAGAGCGAAACTCCATCTCAAAAAAAAAAAAAAAAAAAAAAATAGTAGCTAACCATGGCAGCCACTCCCAAATGAGAAATCAGACTTTAGAAAATTAAGGAAGGTTGGGCCATATTGTAATGGCCTGGTCACGCCAGAGTTCACCTACAGTTCACTCTTAAGTCTGTCCTGTAGGATGCAGCAAGTAAGAGCGGCTGCATGAAAGTAAGCTCTGTTTCTCTGCCCATGTGCGGGGCTCCCACCTCCATCAGATAAGCACTTGTGTAACCTAAGTCTATTTTGATCTCAGTAGAGATCTGTGTACACATGCACACATTTGGCAGCCATGGGCTACAGCCCTGGTGCTCTTGCTTGCGATTCGAGCCATGTTATCAATACTTATGTGTGTAAACTTGAGAGATCAAAGCTATCTTGGTTGGGAAGGCTAATATTTAAATTCCAGACTTGCAGGCACAGCACTGAAATTCCATGGCTCAAGATCAAGTTCATGTATAAAATCAAGTCAAGCATTTGTTTGACACAGTTGTAGGGCTCTGGAGTGTGGGTGAGGTTTGAATTCAGGAGAAATTTAGGGGCCTGCCCAGAATGGAATTCTGTGAAATTCTAGCTGTGGATAGTTTTTAGGTTCAGTGATTTGTGTGATCGTAATTAGAGCAAACACATCTTCATGGCCCAGCTTTGGTAATCACAGAGATGTTTACAGTTTAGAAATAACACAAATCTGTAGCTCTCAAGCAGTAAGATCTGGAGATACCACCACTTACCTTGCAAGGCAATAGAAAAACTAAAGATACTGGACATAACTTTTGGAAACCTAATAGGCTCTCAACAAATGAGAGCTTTGTCTTTATAATTGTCCCTGCCATTCCCATTGTTCCGTCTCTCCCACCACCCTGGAACTTGTAGTCCTTGCAGACCAAGGACTACATCCTTTTGTGAAAGCAAATTGTCTTTTGTCTTCTGCCTACCTCAATGAACCTTTGGTGAGTACATTTCACAGGCTGGGTAGAATGTAAGGCTCATTGTGAGGGCAAAGGTGATTAAGATAGGCCCTCGAGGAGATGTGTCTGGCCATGGGTCACACATACTCTACTACTTATAATGCCATACAAATGACTTGGAAGCAGAGTAAACCCAGGTCTGTAGATTGACAGGAAAAGGAAAGATTCATTCTTCTGGTAGTAATGGATTAGCTTTCAAAGGGGAGCTGAACTCTGACTCCTTCTGTAACATAGTGTAACAAATGGCCAAGAAACCCAGGTTCAATTCCTGGCTCTGTCACTTTTTGAACTGTGTCATCTGGAGCAAATAGTTTAACCTCATTGAAACTTTAGTTTCTTTGTCTGTAGAATGGGGATGTAATTATTAGTACCTATCTCATGGAAGGGTTGGAAGAAAAAAATGAGATAACCCATGTAGCACTGCTCCCCATAAAGCTAGCACATGCTAACCATATTCGGCTACCATCATTATAAAAGGGAATCAACTTAACCCTTCATCTTAAAAACATGGTTTTCTTTTCTTATTCTGCTGACTTGAAATCAAATTAGTCATATTTTACATCCATATAACATCTTTAACACTTTTACATTAAGTGGAAATATATAAAATTGCCAATATTTGATCAATTTTGACCTACAAAAATGGGAACTTCATAATAGCTCTCCAAAGCACCCTCTTCTGCAATGGCTCATTTGATCTCCACAACAACTCTGTGAGTGTGTTGACTCCTCTGGGATTTCCTCCTATGACCTTTTTCTAAAAGATTCTCCTCCCCTGCTTCACATAGATGCAAAGACATTATCACAGGCAATAGTTACTACTGTTTGGTCCAAGGGTAAGCATATGGCCTAGCTGGACAAATAAGTCCCTTCCCTGAGATTTTACTTGTTTTTCTCATTAACTCATTTTATTTTTTGAGCAGAACCCTAGAGAGTTTTGTTAGCTTTTTTCCAGGAACTAAAGTTGTTGGATATTAAACACTGAATAAGTTGGTTGCTATGTTTTCTACCACTGATTTATGCAATTAATATTTATTGAGCATCTTCTATGCTCCAGACACTTCACTGGGTGCAAGGGACACAGAAATGCATAGGATTTTTGCCTTCAACATATTTTATTGTACTGAGAGACTGAAAGTAAGCAAGAAAACAAATAAATAAGTTAATACAGAGTGTGATAAATGCTGCGCTGGGACTATGTGGAAAGAACCAGGCTGTATTGAGAGAGAAGAATATCAATACACTGATAGAGACAGAGATGAAGCTGGAAGGAAGACTAGTGAAAATTGAGCCTCTGGCTCCAGCAGCACCTGAGGTCCAGCTCTGTTGCTGTCCCTCCAGCACCTGGATCATTTTGTTCTTCCATGGATTTCAAGAGCTGCCAAGACATTTCCCTCATTGTTATAGTTGCATTGAGTTAGGTTTCTGCCATTTGCAATCATAACAGTCCATTCTGATACAGCAATCTAGATGGGAGTGCTTCTTCTTCTCCCTGTATAAATGGTGCAAGTAAGGACTTCTTTGGGGAAGTGGGTCTGAAACTTGAGCTGCATCAAATACTTTTTGGATATGATACTTAAATATAAATCATAAATAAAATGTAGCCTGGGATGTCTCATGGGATTAAAAAATAGTTCAACTATAGCTGGGGTCATTGCTGTCATCAGCGTCTTTGACCATTTTTTATGGTCAACAATATTGAACGGCTGATAGGATCAGAGTATATCTGAAAGCTGCAAAGGACTTTAGGGATCATTAAATCAGATCTCATTTTAGAGATATTGAGAGGGAGGCCCAGAGCCCACACATGACATATTCAAAGTCACATAGCTTGAGAGCAGCCAGGTAAGATTTGAACCCAGGATGCCTGACTCTCAGTTTATTCTTAGGTTACTATTGACTGATCTATTCATTCATTCAACAAACATTTTGAGAGCCTATTGTATGTCTAGGTGCTGGAGCCACAGTGGTTCCTGCTCTGATAGAGTTCATTCTGACTGGGGGAAGAGAGACAACAAATAGAAAATCTGGTGGTGCATGTTGGGAAGAACTTGAAACAAGATGATATGAGAGAGTAAGACTCTGTGTACAGAGGGGAGGGAGGTCATGTTATTCCAAATGGAGTGGTCAGGGAAGGCTTCTCTGAAGAGGTGTCATTTAATTCAAGATCTGAAAGTACAGGTGAGTCAGCCATGTGAAGACTGGAGGGAAGCATATTCCAAAGGGAGGAAACAGGTGATGAAAAAGCTCTGGCAATGGAATGATTTGCCCAGTTCAAGGAACAAAAAGAGCGCTAGTGTGGCTGAAGCACAGTGAGAAGTGGAGAATGGAATGGTACCAACTGAAGTTGGAGAAGTTAGCAGGGGCCAGAGTGTTGCTTCCAGGGCCAAGGTAAAGGCCTGACTTTTTATCCCACGTGCAGCAGGGAGCCATTTGGGCATCTTTGAGCAAAGGAGCAACATGATCAAATTTGTCTTAAAACATGATTCCAATCACTTGCTGGACAACGGAGAATAAAAATAAAGAGTTAGCGGTGCAGACAAGAATGCTGGGAACCTGGACCATGGAGGTAGAGAGAAGAAGATGAATTTGAGGGGTGCCATGCAGGTAGAATGGATAGGACTTGCTGATGGCTTGGGTCTAGGGAAAGACAGACTCATGATCAATTGCTAAGTCCCAGGCTTTTTTGTCTTAAGAAATTAAATGGATGGTATTACCATGCACTGTGGGTAATTGGGGAAGATGAAAGTTTGAGGAGAAAATATAAATCAAGAGTTCTGCTTTGCGTATCACTCTACACCCTTGTGGTCTATATTTAAGGTCAAAAACAAAACATAAAAAAACCTGAAAAAGAATCACTAGAAAACCTTAGAGGATAGAGATCATGTAGCTCCGTTACAACACAGCTAGCCATCTGGTTTTCTTATCCGCCACTAATTAATCAATGTGAAGCAGCCAGATAAGTAATAATTACCATTATAACAAACCACAGAAAGATATCCAGAGATTGCCAAGAGGTCCATCCTAGTGTTAGAAGCAACCAGGTCAAACCCCATCAGAAGATGCCTAGTCAGACTGGGAGGGACATTCCAGGCAAAGGCACAGCTTGTATTCCAGAAGCTCAAAAATGGGCAGGAGCACAGTGACCTGGAACAGAGAGATAAAGGGACGCTCATGAGAGATTTACACTGTAGGATGATAGATCAGCATTTTATGTTGTAAGTGAGAGGCAAGTACAGGGAAATATCATCATGTGAAAAAGCTGGGAGGAAAAACAGACTCATTCATTTGTTCATTCATTCATACATTCATTCAACAAATTCTTATGGAGCCCAATCTTTGTGCACAACTGTTCTAGGTACAAGAACTAACAATGAACAGAACAAAGGGGTGTGTGATCCAGTCCTTGCTCTGTTCACTGAGCTCTGCCCAGCGGCTGGTTGCTTTCACACGAGGAAAACCTTTTTTTCTGCTCTCTTGGCACAAATTGCTGGAGCTGAATGTACCAGGGTGGGTGAAGGGGAGGATGAGGTCAGAGAGGTAACAGGGCCAGGCAAGCCATTGTCAGGATTTTGGATTTTACTGTGTACGGAATGTGTTTGCCAGAACAATGCGGGAGTTGCAGAGAGAGGTGTCCTGTGTTTGTTCCCAGTCTTCCTTCACTCACCTGCACCTGCTCCTGCCCTGCTTCGGCCAACATGTTCTATGCAGGTAGGTAAAAAAGTTGGAAATTTCATTTCTCTCCCTGTGTCTCTAAGATGACATCTATCAAACCTCTGATTCTCTTTTGGTTCTTTACAGAAACCCCACTTGAAATTTTCAGGTAGGATGGGGAGAAGGGCAAACCTATTGTTTCCTTCAAACCTAGTAATATCTAACTGAACCCTCTCTATCGGCAGGGTGGTTTTGCTGATGAGACAGCTGCAGTTTGGGGAGTGTGATATCAAGGAAAGCAGTGTCTTGAGTCTGTCACTTTCTCTCTCTGTCCCATTGGGTAAGTCAGTTCTCCTCTCTGGTTGAGAAGGAGAGGGTTTGGGACTCAAACTTTATTCTTGTTAAGTTTCCTTTCTCCTCTAATATTCCTTGAACACTTGTCAGTTTTTTCCATCTCAAAAGTTCCCCTCTTCAGGCTTTGAAATGTGTGAACTGTTGAAAAAGACTGGGAGGTGCAGAGTGAAGAGGGAATGGGGGCTGGGCAGGCCTAGAGGGGTCCAGCACCAAAGAGCAGCCAGAGCCCCGGGGGGCCGTCTTGGTGACTGCTGGGGAAAGTACTAGCTCTCCTCGCAGAGGGAGCTCTGACAGGCTCAATCCAAACCAGATGTGCAGCAGAGAGAGCACAGCCTATTACAAAGTGTTGTGAAATGGCCCAGGGGAGGTAAATAAGCAAAAACAGGCCAGTTGCCTAGCAGCACATACAACAAAACAAGCAGCCAATCCATTCGCATTGGACAGGGCAGAATAGCTTTCTGCAGTAGGGAAAAAGAGACAGGGAGGGTTTGAGTCTGATGAGGACCCAGGGGACCTGCTCTCCAGCAACCTGTTCCCACTCCCTCCAGGCCACTCCTATGCTGCGGGGTGGCAGGGCTGCCACTGGACCTGCTCAGCCTGGTTCCACAGCCTCGGGGGCTTTGCACCTGGCTAACCCACAGGGTCATGGTCAGGGCCTTCCCCCCAGTGGTGGATGGTTGGGGTGAGGGCTGTCTGCACCCACTCCTGAGAATGGTGCTTGGCTGTATCCACTAGGAGGGGACAGGACTACAAAAATCTGCTAAAGTTCTTTGACAAGGTGCTTTACATGTGACTCTCCGTCATTCATTCCTTCATATACCATGTATTTCTTGAGTACCGTCTATGTACCAGGCACTGTGACTGACTCCAGGAGGAGACGTAAAGGAAGAAAATAGAAACACTCTTTGCTCTCTAGGGATCTACAACCTATGGGAGGAGACAGAAATTAATAAGGAATTGCACAATCAAATGCATGATTGTAAATCATGCTGAATGCTTTAAAGGAAAAGAAAGGGGTTGAGGAGTTGGATTCAAACAAAGTATTCTGGGCAGGCCTCTTTTAGGAAGGCAAGTTGAAACTTAAAGAATGAGCAGGGATTAGCCAGGTAAAAAGAAGAGAAAGGGAGTCCCCAGAAGCAGGCAGGCAAAAAGGCCTTGAGGTGGGGAAGAGGTGGCTGCTTGGGGTAAATTACAAAAAAGAGAGTGGTGCTGGAGAACTGTCAGTGAAGGGGGTGGTGAAGTAGAGAGGGAGGCAGGGGCCAGATCAAGTAATCCTTTCCATGAGAAAAGGATATGAGATTTTGTCCTAAGTACAATGAGAAATCTTTGGGGTTTATTTACTGATGACAATACTGAGGAAGCTTCAGGAGTCCTGAGTTGATCAGATTCACTTTTTAAAATTAAAAAAAAAATTGTGAGACAGGGTCTCTGTTGCAAGTCTGGAGTGGTCTGATCATAGTTCACTGCAGACTCGAACTCCTGGGCTCAAGCAATTCTCCTGCTTCAGCCTCCCGAGTAGCTGGGACTACAGGCATGCGGCACCACACCCAGTATATTAACATTTTTAAAAGATTACTCCTGGGTACGACATGGCAATTCTGAAAGGGAATGAGAGAGGGGACAAGAGGGAGGGGTTAGGAGGCTAGGATTTTAGCAAAGTAAAAGTGTAGAAGTCCATAAACTGGCCCAAGGTCACAGGCAGAGCTGAGATCCAAGCCTGGACCTATGTGGTAACCACCAAGCTAGTGTCTCCAGGTTTCTGCCTCCCAAGACTAACTTGCTGGAGCCGTGGAAGCCACCTCAGCTCCTCTCCCAAGGAGTAAGTGTGTGTCTCCATCAGAGCTGGGGGGTAAGCAAGCACTGGCCTGGAAAGAACTCATTATGACAGTAGCTAGCCATGCCTTGCTGTCTGCCCCCCTCTGTCTGTCTCTCTCAAGCGCTGTCTCTCTCTCAATCTCTCTCTCTCATACACACACACACATGCACACACACACACATATACACACACAAATACCCTCCCTTCATTGTGACTCTACTCCCCCTACTCTCCCAGAACCTGAATTGAAAAAGCACTTTTTCTCCAGCTTCTCAGAATTTTCGGTAGTGTCAAATGTTCTCAAGGAATTCTTGCAGAGAAGAGCTCTTTGCAAGCACAGAATACATCCCAGTTGCTTTTGTAACCTCAGCATGAACTAGTGGTGACAGGTGACAGATGGACCATGAGTCTGGGAACTCAGTTTCGATTCAGGCTTTACAATGACTAGGTGTGCCTTACGAACTTTTTAAAGTGGGGACAAAAATTCTACTTGCTTTTCAGGATTATGAGGATTAAGTGAGACAATGTAGTATAGGAAAAGGCTTTGAAAATAGCAAAGCTGTGTATAAATATTCATTGTGATATTGACACAGATTCTGATCAATCAAAAGTTGCACCTGAATGGATTGGTGTTTTCCTGTCTCCCCACCTGTGACACACCTGTGCACAGAGTCAGGGGTGCAGCCCTTCCTTCCAGCATACATCTAATCCAGCTACCTCTCTATACATATCCTGCAGATGTTAAGCACATACAGGGCTAGCCCTCCTTTCTTACCATGCACACCATCAGCTTCATCCTCTGCCTGCTTCTGTTCATATCCTGGCAAAGGGAAATGAGAAAATTCTGGTCATCCCATAGCATCAAAGGCTTCTGTCCATAATATTACAAAATTCTACTAAATCGTGATATGGTAAGACATAATAATAAAGTGTTGTATTTGGATTATCTCGGTGATTCCAAGATATTAGTCATTTTTGATCCACCTTTGTTATTTTTGCCATATATGGGTATCATCATGTTATATTGCCGCCAATGCGCTTTAACGTCATTCAGTGTAGATTCAGTGAGCTCTGCAAGTCTGTGTCAGTGTATTAGTCCATTCTTACATTGCCATAAAGACATACCTGAGACTGGGCAATTAATTTTTTTAAAAAGAGGTTTAATTGGCTCATGGTTCTGCATGCTGTACAGGAAGCATGGCTGGGAAGGCCTCAGAAAACTTACAATCATGGTGGAAGGCAAAAGAGAAGCAGGCACGTCCTACATGGCCAGAGAAGGAAAAGAGGGTGAAGGGGGAGGTGTGATACACTTTTAAGCAACCAGATCTCATTAGACTTACTCACTATCACAAGAACAGCAAGGCAGAAATTCAACCCCATGATCCAATCATCTCCCAAACCCCTCCTCCAAAACTGGGGATTACAATTCAACATGAGATTTGGGCAGGGACACAGACCCAAACCATATCAGTTTATTTTATTCTACATCATGGATGTCTAGTGACCCTAAGCAGGAAAACACACTGCTGGAGTATTAAGCCAGCATTTACTCAAAAGGCCACTCCAGAGCCATTTCAGTTACTTTCATCTCTGTTCAACACCAGAAGTTTTATTAGTTATCATAATAGAAATTATAAATAGGGCTTTGTTAATGAAGTTAATGACTTTAAAGATACGTGGGTTAGGAGATTGTTTTGTTTTATTTTGTTTTGAGATGGAGTCTCACTCTGTCACCCAGGCTGGAGTGCAGTGGTGTGATCTCAGCTCACTGCAACTTCCACTTCCTGGGTTGAAGCAATTCTTCTGCCTCAGCCTCCTGAGTAGCTGGGACTACAGGTGCGTGCCACCATGACTAGTTAATTTTTGTATTTTTAGTACAGACAGGGTTTCACCTGCAGGGAGCTTTTTACCCTTCACTCTTTGGAATGATGACTGAAGCTTAATCTTTAAACAGTTGAGTCCAGCCACTGATTTAGAGCATTCTAATTGCTGCTATGGTGGCCATGACAATGGGCTCCTCAGATCTCAAACTACATGCAGCATAAGTGCCCTCATTGCTGGGCACTGGAATCCATCTCTGCACCTGCATCTGGGCCATGCTCCCACTGCTGCTCCCAGCCAATCACTGAGCACTCTGGGAGTACTAAAATAGGTCAGGTCCTGGGGAGATCGGGGGCTCCTCTGATGAGCCAACATTAGCTCAGGCCTCCCCAACAACATTGCCATACTTCTCTTAGAGGTGCACTGCAATCTAGACCCTTAATGCCCAATTTCCCTTCATTAATCCCCCCTCTCTTCTGCACTTGCATCACTTGCATTCTCTCCTACACTCCCAACTTCCTTTCCCTTGTCTCTCGTAGGCACTTTCCCTAATAAATTTCTCACACATTGAAGCCTATCTGGTGTCTGTCTGTTTCTCAGAGAACCCAGATGAGTGGTCCCTGGAGTGATCTGAGAAAACAATAAGAGGATGCAATGGTCTGAATATTTGTGTCCCCCAAAATTCATATGTTAAAACTTAATTATCAAGGTGATGATATTAGAAGGTGGGGCCTGTGGGAAGATGATTAGGTCATGTGTGTTCCACCCTTACAAGTGCCCTTATAAAAGAAACCCCAGAGAGGCAGCTAGACCCATTTCTACCATGTAAGGACACAGCTTCCAGGGTGTCAGGGTCCTGTCACATGGCAGTGAATGCCCAGTGGTGGCAGGGTCACCAGCAACATTGTAATAGATTGTTCTTGACCAGCATTGGGCTCTGCTTGATATCCAAGCCTCACCTTTGTGCCTTCTTGTTGATTCTGTAAGATAGATACAGGGTGTCCTAACACACATAGTGCCTTTGTATGGGTTTCTTAAAGGCGCGTCCCTCTTAGTAGATCATTAGAAAGAAGCAAACCTTTCTTCAAGCTGAACACAGCTTTCACTCACCCTCACCCAGGACCTTTCTGCTGGACAAAACCTGCACAACTCTACTTGGTAGCAGTAGCTATGCAAATACCACTTCAATTTACTTTTTTCTGTTGAATTCAACAAGAATTTGTTTGTTTGTGGCTGCATTTATGTGTTCACCCAACCTCACTTCCTTTTCATCCTGGACACACAGCTGACTACATTTCCCAGCCTGCCTTGCAGTTCTTTGGCTCTGTATAACTGAATTCTGGCCAATGGAATATGAAAAGAAGTGATGTACTTCCAGAGCTAGCCCACAAAAACTTCCCACTTCATCAGCTATTTGCTCTCTTTCCCCAGCTGCTCACTGATGTCACTTAGAGGAAGGCAGGGGCACAAGATGGGAGGACCCAGAGCTCCGGGTTCTTAAGTAAGTACATAGAACACAGCCCCTCCTGCCTCGCAGTCCCTTCATGCCAAGAAATAAAGTTGTACATAATGTCCAAGCATTGACACTTTGTGTTTGCCTGTTAAAGATGTTAACCCACCATGACAAATACACTGTTTGCAAACAAGAATCCTGATTAGTCCTGGTCTCCTTAGGTTACTTAATTTTGTCCGTGTCTTGTCATCTCAATTAACTTGTAAGTGCCTTAGAAATGAGAGCTAGGGTTTGAAATATACAGTTTTTCTTTATTTAATACCTAGCTCAGGGTATGCCTGTGGGTAAATTAGAGCCAGAAGATTATTTAGAAATATGTATTATTTCTCTCTGCCCCAGTTTCCTCTCCAACAGCATATATTTCACTAAAAAGGAAGACAGAAAGAGAAACAAACTAAGGTTTGGAGAAAGTAAAATCTTAGAAACTGAAAGAATATCAATGGAATATAATTATATACAACTGCTGGTTCTTAAATCAGTTTTCTATATTCACTGATTAGGAAAATAAAGTTGGAAAAATATTTTCTTTTCGTCCTTCCATAGTTTCTCAATAAAAGAAACTTCATTTGTCTTCTATCGCTGCATAACAACTTACTCCAAAACTTACTAGCTTAAAATAACAAACGTTTTTAATCTCAATTCTGTGAGTCAGGAATCTGGGTGTGGTTTGGCTGAGTGTCTCTGACTTAACGTCTCACAAGGTTGTAAGCAGTCAGCTGAGGCTGCAGTCTTATCTGAGGGCTATCAGGGGCAGGGATGGTGATCTGCTTCCGAGCTAACTCATGTGTTTGCAGGCTGTGGCCCCACAGTATGTGGGTCTCTCTATAGGACCACCTGATAATCCGGCAGCTAGTTTTCCCCAAAGTTGGCAATACAAGAGAGAGTACCTAAGATGGAAGCTACAGATTTTTTAAATAACCTAATCTTAGAAGTGGCATAATCAATCCTGCCATGAATGCTAGCATGTAAGTATCATTGGGGGCCATCACAGAAGCTACTTACCTTAGGAACGTTCTAGAATTTTTCAAAGAACCTTTATAAAGGACTATTGGAGTTTCCTGAGCTCTTTTCTATACCAGTTCTCCTCCTATTTCTTCTCCAAACCTAGCCTAATATGTCCATTTGTGCAGTGGTTCAGGATACAGAAAAAACACTTCGCTTACTTTTAAGAGAGAATTTGACATAAAGAATTGTTAACTAAGTGCTAAAGAACTATAATAACAAAAAGAGTAACAAGTGTTAGCAATTACAGGAAATAGTTAACAACCCCTACTGCTGAGGAAACAAAAGGAGAGGTTAGAATGATTAAAAGGCAGAAACTTGAAGGATTAGCCCCAGAGCACTCGAATACAGGTCAAAAATGCATAGCAATTGCTCAGCTGGTGCTGAGGTCTCTGGGCTAGGAAGAGGAGTTCTGTGGAGCTGGAAGCCAGACCTCTTTGGAGGAAACTCCAGCAGCTATGTTGGTGTCTCTGAGGGAATGCAACAAGGCTGCTCCTCCATGTATTGGAAAACTGCAAACTGGACTCAACTGGAAGGAAGTGCTGCTGCCAGTGTGAAGAAGCCAGCCTGAGGTGACAGAAACGGAAGCAAACAGGAAGCAGCCAGTCTTTTCTTCCTCCTCCTGTCATACGGTCTCTCTCAAGCATCCTTTGTTGTCAGGGCCTAAAAGGGAGCTGCTGACAAAGAAGGAATTTGGTTTGTAGAGTCCCAGCCCAGTGTCTCAAAACAGAGTATGGGGGTGAAAGAATTTGTAACTGAAACTGAGAGATAATATCCTCATCACTTGTACGTGAAGCCATCCCCAATTCAAGTGACAGTAATTTGGAATATTCTTTAATTTCCTTTAATGCCCCATAATAATAATGTGTTGACATCTGTACATCTCAATACAGTTCTTTCAAGCCATTATCTTGTTTAATCTTGTGAGAATGACAAAAATCATTCTTTCCCCATTGAAGACAACAGTGCCCAAAAATGTCAATCACTTGCTGAAAGATGAACAATATACAAATGGTAGACTTGGGATTCAGTCTCTCTGATTTCAAGCCTGGGGTCTTTTTTACTATATCGTACTGTCTCCTCAAAATGTTTATCAAGAGCCCTATCCTTATTAGTAAATCCTCAATAAACTAGAAATGAATTCACGCAAACACCTTTACTTATGATCATTTAAATTCTCTTTGAGTGATAGAAATTTCTAGGATTCTCATTCATTCAACAAGTATTCAATGAGCACATTCTAGGCTATAAACTCCTAGGAGAAACCATTTTAAATAGGATAGGGTATATGCAGGAGCAGAGTCTGCATCTGGCCCTCTCACCTGCATGCTTGAAGTGGCAGAAGATAAAATCTCCCTCTCTCCTGTGTACCTTGGGCTAAGGATTCTTCTCTGGATAGCCAGGACCCAGTTGATCCTGAGCCCCCATTGCTAAAGAAATTCTCATTGTTCTTGGTTCCATTAGGTCACTCTTTGATGTCACAGGACATTTTCTAGGGAAAACATGCACCAAACTTTCCCCCTAGTAAGTGGGCAATGGCCCCACAGAAAGATTAAAGAGGAAAAAGCCCCTATTTGGAAAGCCCCAGGTGACTGGATTTCTGAGCCTGTATTTTCATTCTCCCTTCCTTAGCTCTGTGAAGATCCCTTTCTGAAGTAACCATAACCTCTAAATCCCCATAGAAGAATACAACACAAAGAGCTCTGGTCCTCCACTTAATATGCCCAAGCTTGCCACCTTGTCATCTACCACACTGGGGTGTTGCAGTGACTTTGAGCTAGAGAAGAAACTTTAACTCCTTCCAGAAAACATACTGGAGGCACACTGGGCAGGGACAGCTGAAGGCCGTAAACTTTTGTATGGGTCCTCATATTCTTAAGTACTTTGCACCATTAACAATAGTTCTCTTGGGAGGTAGAGTTACCAGGGTGCTTCCGCATTCTGTGTTTTTATATTTCTGTATTGTTTGATGGTTTAACGACCTATGATATGTGTAATTTAATAAATGTGTGTATAAGCATATATTTAAACCCTTTGGAGCTGTTATTGTTACTAAGAGAGTATGTGATACACGGAGACCAGGAGTGGGAGGGAGCTTTTGAAATCATATATAGGCCCTACTACTCCAACTGTATAGCAGCATTAGCTTCACCTGGGATTCTGTTAGAAATGCAGAATCTCAGGACAACCCTGGACCTACTGAATCAGAATCTGCATTTTAACAGATGCTCAGGTGACTTATATACATATTAGCAGTTGAAAAGCCCTCATGTCATCGAGCCAAATTCTGGATTTCACTGTGAAGGAAACAAGAGGGGTAGAGGGAATCACTTGCCAAAAGTTCACACAGCCTATCAGCACCAGAAGTAGGACTCCAGTTCCCATCTTTAGAATCCCAATAATCATGACTTCAGGCTGCCTCTCCATTTTTCTGTACTTTATAAGAAAATATCTTCTAAGTCTCAGGGTAACATGGAAGGTGAGTCTTAGTCCTTTAATACAGCTCAATACTGCTAGGTAAGTTAAGGCACTGGCAGGCTGGGAACTGGGCTCACCAGCCCTGGATTAGGCCCTGAATCATATTCTCATAGTGTTTGAGAGAAAGCTCAAAGTGGATTTAGGAACAAGTGAGGGTGAAAAAACAGGTAAAGCTAGTGATGTCAGGGCGTCTCTGGAAATTCAGGGAGGGGCAGAGGAAAGGTTTGGGAATCCCTTACGTATCGCTTGGCATTTATACAGGTGGCAGATGAGTCAAATGGTGGCTGGTGTGTTATGGAGAAGGGAATTGCCTATAATTGAGTTGCGAGTGCTCGTACAAATGCTAAGCAGGCCAGCTGTTTACAGAGTTTGAATTCTGCTCTCTCACGCAGATGGAATCATCCCAGCTTGTTGGCATGTCTGGGGTATATAGTGTTGCCCCCTCCTCTTGATCTGAAAACATGCTCAGATTGGGGTATGTCTGATTCAAGAAAGGGCTGAGTTCAGCATCAATCAGCAAAGGGGCCAGAACATAAGAGGGCTCCCCAGGGCCCCAGAGCTGGAGTTGAGTCTTTGCCTGAGACGTTGGGAGATACCAAGGCCAAAGGTGCAGGCTGAGTGAAAAATACACAGTAAAGGCAAAGTACTAAGCATCAGAAGTTCTGCCTGAAAATTAGCTCACAGGGCAGGGAATGTGCACCAGGGAGAAGCAGCCAGTAGGCAAGAATGATGTGGTTAATAGCTAAGAGGTGGGTTATGGAGAAAAGTGCAATTCTGGCTTCACCAGCCTCTGGCTATGTGACCTTGGGTGAGTGACTTCTTTCAAAGGCATCACACATCCAATTAATGGATAATTATCTCAAGGTAATGTCATATCTTTTTGTTTAATGAAACACTGACTCTTGTAAAAAGTCGAATGTAAAGTCACTCCCTCTTTTCTGAAGCACAGTTTTGTTTTTTTTTAAAGGGGGAAAAAACAAAAACAAATGTTGCCTTTTATTCAGACACACAGATGAACTTACTCAAGGTTTTAGTTAATAAGTGATAGAGTGGGATTCAACACAGTCTCACATCAGAGTCCAAATTCAAGCACAAAGCTGTGGTGTGCATCATCATCAGGACTAAGTTTAGGCATCACCTGCCCAGGCCTTCCCTGAGCAGCCCAGGCCCTCCCTGAGCAGCGCATCCCCTTCCCCATGCGTATGTATGGCCCCTGTGAGCAGCCCTGCTCTGCCTTCCCCAGGGCTGTGGGCTTCCCTCTGTAAGGGAGGAAAAATGCCTTTTCCTCACCATCCTGGGTTCAGGACTGAAGCTCCTCTAACAAAAGACGGATTACGAGAGAAAAACATACTCATTTATTTAATGTGATTTATATATATTTATCAATATATTTAACATTTTATGTGACATGGCAGCCTTCATAAGGAAATGAGGACCCAAAGAAACAGTTAAATCTGAATATTTTTATGCTAGGTTTGATGAAGTATAGACAGCCATAGAGAAATATGATAAGGCAAAAATGGTATGATCTAATGGGAATAAATTGAGGAAACTTATCAAGGCTGGTTGTTCAGATTCTTCTCTGTATCCCTGTGTCTTCAGAAATCAAAATGTTCCCTTCCTCCACGTATAAGGAAGGCACCTCTCACAGGGAAGTCTTATGATTTGCTTAAGGGAAGGCCAAAAATTCTTTCCTAGGTTTTAAGACCCACTTCAGGGGAGAAGAGCACAGGAAAGTCAGAGTCCCCTTCCTGCCTTTGCTGTTTTCTTCAGTATGCCCAGGTGCCATATTTTGGGGGTAGTGTGTCCTGAATCCCATCACCTGACAGAACTTAGCACACTGAGTTGTAAATTGCATAGGTGATCCTTCGAGTGTCAACTGTGTCAACTGAGCTGTAACCACAGCACTTAATGCTGCAGCTGACACATAATAAATGCTCAAAAATATCTATTGATTAGCTATATACCTTCAGGATTTGAAAAGTTTACTATGCCAGATAAGGTGGATTGGCAGTCAAAATACATCTTATCTTCTTTCTAGTATGTATCCCCAATGTGAAATCTAGAGAGAAATAAGATATGTCCTAGACTCTCTCACAGCTAAGCCAGCTAAGCAATGGGTGAGAACTAGGCTTGGCCAGTCAGATGCAGGAGCACAAATTCTGGAATGGAGGAGTGAGGGGACACACTTCTGCTGCCTCTACTGCATCTGTGGCCAACATAGTTGTGAGAGTGATTGGTTTTTCTGCAGCCCCATCAGTGGAGGGCCCAGTGCTGGGTCACTTGCTTTGTGGGGACCAGGAGGCAAGGCACTGAACATCCATTCTGTTGGTACAGACTGTATCATACATAACATAGCTCTTCCAGGTTAGGGCAGTGCTGAGGTAGTTTTGTAACCAAAGCTTCCATTTCACAGGAGGTCCAAGGAAAAAAATAGAAGATCCCTGTATTGCCCAGGGCTTTGGAATGATTTATAAAAGCTCAATTCTACAAGTTATTTTAATACTAATATATTTTAATTAGGACATTGTGTTGGCTGACTTACCAAGATAAATAATGGACACTTAAACAAAGTAAAAGTTTTTTTTCTCTCTCACATAAAATTATAAGCTGGTAGGCAGTCCAGGGGAATATAGTAGCTCTATCTCCCAAAGATATTCAATGACTTAGTTTTCTTCTTTCTTGGTGTCCTATTAACCTCTAGAGTGTTTCCCACCTGAAGCTTTTTCCCATCACCAGATCCCATCATCCAGTATGTGGGAAGTAGGGGAGTAGAAATGGAAGGCAAGCAGCCTCCTTTTAAGGAAATGACTTAACACTTATGTGTTACTTTTACACACATCCCCATTGCCATAATTTATCCACAGGACCATATCTATCAGCCAGTGGATTGGCAAATGTAATTGCAATGTAGGCAGCCACATAAATGCCCAGCTAAAACGTGGAAGGGGATAAAGTCCTAGTCTTGAAAGGAAGGAAATGGATATTGGTGAATAATAGTCTCCTGCATAGTTGACCAAAAAAAAAAAAAAATTCTGTCCACCTTAAACTAGCTAGAAGAATTAAATATACTTACTCTCTGCAACTGAAAACTGTTACAGTTACTTAAACTGATATCAAGAGGGGCTTTCACCTTGTGTTGGGATAGAATTAAGCAGTAGATGTGGAGCCCACTTTGTATCCTAAAAGTCTCATTAGCAAAATGAAAAGTAACATAGAATTAAAATGTGGCTTTTGAGAAACATATAATGCAGTTGAAAAATCTAAGTTAACACACAAGAATGGCCTTGCAAAAAAAAAACAAATAAAAAAACTGAGTGTTACACCTGAAGGTGAGGTGAACAAAGAAGTCTTAGCCTGACATGTAAGTAGTGTTGATAGAAAATAAAGATTTCAGGTCATGGGATACTGCATAACCAATTCTATTTTCGAAGAGGGTGACAGAAAATATAGGCAGCTCCTTGTTACAAGTAAAATTTAGCTGAGAGGCAGGTGCTAATATTTGTCAGGTGCTTATATTTCCAAACACAGTTCAGTAGTCCCCCCTTATTTGCAGTTTTGCTTTTGGCAGTTTCAGTTGTGGTCCAAAATATTACATGGAAAATTATATAAATAGACAATTCCTAAGTTTTAAATTGTGTGCCATTCTGTGTAGCATGATGAAATCTCACATAGTCCCACCTGGGTCTTGAATCATCCCTTTGTCCAATGTATCCACACTGTATATACTTCCTGCCTGTTAGCGACTTAGTAGCCATCTCAGTTATCAGATCAACTGTTACATTATATCACAGTGCTTGTGTTCAAGTAACCCTTATTTTTCTTAATAATGGCATCAAAGTGCAAGAGTAGTGATGCTGGAATATTGTTATAATTTATTTTATTACTAGCTATTACTGTTAATTTCTTACTGTACCTAATTTATAAATTAAACTTTATCATTGATATATGTGTATAGGAAAAACTCTAATATATAGAAAGTTCAGTAATATCTATGGTTTCAGGCAGCCACTGAGGATCTTAGAATGTATTTCCCAAGGATAAGGGGGGACTACTGTCCTACATATTCACTTAAATTTGTATTTTTCCATTAGCATCTGTGAATATGAATACCTCAATACACCCTCCAGCACCCAATAAAGAAGGCATTATTATTACCATTATAGTTGAGGAAGCTGAAACAATGAGAATAAGCAAAGCAACTTTCCCAGGGTTATCTGGGTCATGTAAGTGGTAGGGCTGGGTTTCACACCCAGGCAATCTGTAGCCTATGCTCTTCAGCACTTCTATATATGTTTTCCATGCTTACCTGTGACTACAGTTTCCCTGTTTTGTCCCCTAAGACAACCACTACCAGCTCCAGATAGAAGACTTGAAAATGCACCAAAGAATCTGGACAGTCTGTAGGTGACGTTGTATATGACTAGTTACTATGAATAAAAAAGCAACAAGACTTCATCAACGCTTATTCTTTTCTTTTCTTTTCTTTTTTTTTTTTTGAGACTGAGTTTCGCTCTTGTCACCCCAGCTGGAGTACAATGGTGCGATTACAGCTCACTGCAACCTCCACCTCCCGGGTTCAAGCGATTCCCCTGCCTCAGCCTCCGGAAGTACCTGGGATTACAGGTGCCCGCCACCACGCCCAGCTAATTTTTTGTATTTTTAGTTGAGATAGGGTTTCACTATGTTGGCCAGGCTGGTCTTGAACTCCTGATCTCAGGTGATCCACCCGCCTTGGCCTCCCAAAATGCTGGGATTACAGGCGTGAGCCACCACGCCCAGCCCATCAATGCTTATTCTTTGCCCATTACTATACAAGGCCTATAAGATGTGGTCCCTGCCCTTGAAGAACTTAAATATTCCCTAAAAGTAATATGAGGTACACAACCATTAATCTGGGGGCTAGATAAAAACCTACAAATTCCTTAACAAATAATTAAGGAGTAATGACTCTACACCAGACCCATGGTTTTATGAGACAAAAAAACTGACAGGATTTCTGCCTTCCTAAGGCTCAAAGTGCAATGGCTGAGATAGATATTTAGTAGTTACAAATAAAACACACAAGTGCATTAAATTGTATGTAAATATTTACAGTGTGCAGTAAGAAAAATGGCAGGGGAGTGTTTGCTTAGACTTTTAGATGATGCAATAAAATAGATAAAAATAGATATTTCAAAGCTCAAAAGTTAGAGAAGGGAAAACCCTACATTGCATCAATAAAGGTCCAGCCAAGAGGCAGAAATATCAGAGAATGGAAAAGGTATGTTTAGTCTCAGCTTTGAAAAATGAAGAGGAATTAGACTGAGAATTGGGGAAGAAGATTTTGTACCAAGGGAGCAGCAAGTCTAGAGTCCCTCAGGTGGCACAGAGCTCTGTGAATTTAAAGAACTCCATGAGGGCTGCTGTAGCCAGGATATAGCGATTGAGGGAAAGAGTGGTTTAGGCAAGGCTGGAGACATTGGAAACCAAACAAGGTCTTGCAAACCGATCAAGGAGTTTAAGTAGCTGCAAGTGCAGTAGGAATCCATTGTAGGTTTAGAAAGAGAAATGATTTACGATTAAGACAATCACTCTGGTTGCAGTAGGCATGGTTTATAGATTTAAGACTGAAATAAGGAAAACCAATTAAAAGCTTTTGCAGTACTCCAGGTCTTTGGATGCTAAATTTCAGATACTTTTCACAAACCACAACGTGTACTTCGAGATGCTGCAGCTAGAACACTGCAAACCACATTTCAGCTTGACTAGCTAGTTACCTGCTGAGCTCAGCCCATGGGGGCCACAGCAGGAGGCTGCACACCCGGAGGAGAGAAAGAAGCGATTGTTCCTTTCTGTTTGCTTCCTCCTTTCTGTTTACTTCCCGTTCCTATGTTCATAAGCAATGTCTCTTCACCATGGCAGCAGCAGTTGTTTCAGGAGCAATGGTTAAATCCAATTTGCAGTTTTTCTAACACTCACAGAAACAGCCTCATTGTGCCCCCTCAGTGACACTAACCAATCTGAGCCCCCTCCTCAGAGATCTGGGTCCCAGACCAATGAGACTTGTCCTTCAAACTCAGAAACACTATCATCAGCCGGGCAGTGTCCCTTCTCAGAATCTGAGTTTCATCTCTGCAGGGCCTTCTCTCCCATATTTCTAAGTTTTAATAATGCCAACCTCTTTCTTTGGTTGTCCCAGTCCCAGAGGCAGCCGCTTCCTGTAATTGTTGGCTCCATGATACCTTAGCATTCTCTTTTTGCCATTTTGGTTGTTGAGTTCCCAGGCAGCAATTCTCTATATTATATTCTCCATGTTAAAATAACTGGTATGGTTTCTCTCTCGGCTGGACCTTTACTGATGTAATGTAGGATTTTCCCTTCTCTAACTTTTGAGTTTTGAAATATCTATTTTTATTGTATCATCTAAACGTCTAACCAAATAAAAGGGCAGACCCAGCCATGGAATAAGTATAAGCTTTGTAATCAGAAAAACAGCAGAGCTACTTACTGGAAGTATGACTGTGGGTCTGACCCTTAACCTTTATAAGTCTTAGTTTCTGCATCTATAGAATAGGTGCAGTAAACCTCTACTTCAAATGGTCATTGTGATGGACTGGCACAGGCCAGGCACATATTAGGTAAACAATTTGTGGCAGCTATTATTATTAAAGTATCTCTCATAGAAAGTGTTTTATTTTAGATAATTTATTCAACAAATATTTTAGAACATGCCCTGTAAGTGTTTTCTTCCTGTTCTCTCCTGCCCCCCTGCAGGTGCCTCTGACTCATGACTTCCTCTCTCATAAGTGTTCCTCGAAGTTTCCTCCCTACACGTTTACTTGCCTCCATGTCGTCTCTCCAAAACCAGAATCTTCACAGGGTCAGGAAGAAAGCACTCAACACAATATCCAACATTTTGTATAGATCCAATCATCATTTGTTGACTAACCTCTGCTTGCTAACTGTTCACTACGGCTTTGTCTGGCTTCATACATCCTCTGAATGCCTTGGCCTCCCTTGGGATACCTCATGATGGGGCCAAAGCATCAGGACAAAAGAGCAGAGCAGAAAACATGCAAAGAAGACACTTCCCACCACACTCCACGGCTTCCTATTCTCAAGGCCAGTGGCACTTCAGCAAGCTGCTTCCCTTTAACTCTGTCCAGCTGGAGCCCTCTTCTCAGCCGCCCAGGGCTGGTAGCGAAGGCCCATTCGCAGTTGATTAAGGAGTAATTAGCAAGCCCAGTCAGGATCATTAGCATTTCTATGTTCCCACTTGTAAATAATAACTGGTTTGAGTGAGGTGATTAAAAAAAAAAGAACAGCTGGTGGGAGATTTTAGAAATTTACCTACAGGTCCAGCTGAAGTGCCCACTGGGAACCCTTGGGAGCCTCAGTAGTCCAAACACCAGACAGATGCCCTCTCCCTGCCCCAAAACTATCCTTAGAGGGAACAATTGCAGGGACATCTACACCCTCCCTATAGCACGAAAGTACAAATGTCTCCTCTCCTAGTAAGAGAGGGCATGGTCATAATAGAGAGGGGAAAAAAAAAAAAGAAAAGAAAAGAAAAGAAAGAAAAAACCCAGATTTTGGAGTTAGGCAGACATGACTTGAAAACTCAGCTTCTACACTTACTAGTTTGGTGACCTTGGGCAAGTATCAGCTTCTTTATCAGAAACATACTCTTTGTCCTTATGGATGGAGTCTTTCTTTCTTTCTTTTTTGTAAACAAATCAAGACGGTATTCAACAGTAAACAGATGAGTAGTTTGTTCAAGGAAAAGACAGGAGAGATGAGCAGGTGGAGCCCATGGAATCTTTAGGGCAGTAACACAGTAATCTATATGATACTGTAATGGCCAATACACAACATCATGCATTTGTCAAAACCCATAGAATATATCCAAAAGAGAGTAAATCATTTTACCAAAAAGACACATGTATGTTTATCACAGCACTATTCACAATAGCAAAGATATAGAATCAACCCAGGTACCTACCAATGGTGAATTGGATAAAGAAAATATGGTACATGTATACCATGGAATACCACACAGTCACCAGAAAAAAGAATGAAATAATGTCCTTTGCAGCAATATGGATGTAGCTGGAGGCCATTATCCTAAGTGAATTAACACTGGAACAGAAAACCAAATATCGCATGTTCTCACTTATAAGTGGGAGCTAAATATTGGGTCCTCATAAAGAAGGCAACAATGAGGCTGGGCACGGTGGCTCACGCCTGTAATCCCAGCACTTTGGGAGGCCGAGGCAGGGGGATCACGAGGTCAGGAGATCGAGACCATCCTGGCTAACACGGTGAAACCCCGTATCCACTAAAAATACAAAAAATTAGCCGGGCGTGGTGGCGGGCACCTGTAGTCCCAGCTGGGAGGCTGAGACGGGAGAATGGCGTGAACCTGGGAGGCGGAGCTTGCAATGAGCCGAGATCGCGCCACTGCACTCGAGCTTGGGCGACAGAGCGAGACTCTGTCTAAAAAAAAAAAAAGAAGAAAAAAGAAGGCAACAATGGACACTGAGGACTACTAAAGAGGGGAGGCATGGAGCGGGGCAAGGACTCAATGTCTATTGAATCCTATGCTCACACCTGGGTGACGGGATCATATGTATCCCAAACCTCAGCATTATGCAATATACTCATTAAATATACCTGCTCAAGTACCCCCTGCATCTAAAATAAAAGTTGAAATATTTTTTTTAAAACAGAGAACAGATTGTGTAAGTCATTGTAGTTGAGGAAGAAAATATATTTATTTCAATTAAGAGATCTAGCCTTAAATTTTGCCTTTGCCAGTTGGCAGCCTTGTGACTTTGGACAAGTTAAATAACCCCCCTGAGCCTCAGCTTTCTCATTTGTAAAATTTAATTAGAAATACCCTCAATTATCTACTTTCACGGGGTTCTTACAAGCGTTAAGTTTTATAATGTACCTTAAATTTTAATAAATTGTAAAATTTACACCTCAAGAAAACCCACAAAAAGCCATAGGATGTACATCACAAAGAGTGAGCCTCAGTGTAAACTATGGACTTGACTTAGTAATAATGTAATATTGGTTCATCCATTGTAACAAACGTAGTACACTAATGCAAGATGTTTGTAATAGGGAAAACTAGGTGAAGGTAGAGAAGAGTATACAGGAACTTTGTACTTTCTGTTCAATTCCGCTGTACACCTAAACCAGTCTAGAAAAAAATCAAGTCTACTAGTGATTCTTTTTTTCAAGGAATACTTGACTATTCCTTACCCCAAATAGCCTAGCCCAATGCCTTTCAAACTTTAACGTACATGTTAGTCACCTGTACTGCAGGTGACTTTGTAGGTCTAGAGTGGTGCCTGAGATTCTTTCTGCCTTTCTAACAAGGAACGCCGCTGATCCATAACAACACTTGGAGCAGCAAGTCTCAAGACTGAAGCAGTAATTGTCTAAGTAAAGCGACTGGAAATGATGGGTACTCCACAAAGTGGGACACTTGCTAATAGGATTCCCTTCCCTACCATTGTTCAGTAACCTTAGGATCAAAAGAGGCCCTAACACTGGGCTCTGCGATTAGCTAAATGAATACCCCAAACGTCAGGGACTTTGCACTTAAAAGACAACTGGATCCATTTAGGAATAATTCCCAGATAAGACTCAAGTCACAGACAGTTGTGGTGGCTCATGCCTATAATCTCAGCACTTTGGGAGGCCGAGGTGGGTGGATCACAAGATCAGGAGTTCAAGACCAGCCTGACCAACATGGTGAAACCCCTGTCTCTATTAAACATACAAAAATTAGCCAGGCATGGTGGTGCTCACCTGTAATTCCAGCTACTCCAAAGGCTGAGGCAGGAGAATCGCTTGAGCCCAGGAGGCGGAGGTTGCAGAGAGCTGAGATCCTGCCCCTGCACTCCAGCCTGAGCGACACAGCAAGACCCCGTCTCAAAAACAAAACAAAACAAAACAAAAAACAAAAGATACAGGTCACCCAGTTAAATTTGAATTTCAGATAAGCAACAATAATATTTTAGTATATGTCCCACATAAGCATGTTCCCCCAGGAACCAATTCACTTAACCAAGAGAATGCCTCTCTTTGGTCACTTTCTTGTCCTCCCCTTCTTCAGGAGCAAGTGACCAGTAATGTCCGTGTGAATGGAAATACTGAGCAAGTATAGGAAATGCTGCTATTCATTTCTATCAAATTACTATTAACATGGTGTACCTGACTTCATAGTTTACAAAACACTTTTACATCTTTTAGTCTAGTGTTTGTCAAACTTTGACATGTATGCAGATCACCTGGGGGATCATGTTAAAAATGCAGATTTGGGCTCAGCAGTTCTGAGGGTTCACATCTCTAACAAGCTCCAGGGAGTCTGATATTGCTGTTCTGTGGCTCATATTTTGAACAGCAAAGGTTTAGATATTCCCAGATGATAGATAGTCTGTATCACCCCCATTTTATAGTTAAAGAAACTAAGGCTTAGATTACATAGACATTCTCAGGTATACGCAGAGATGGAGGAGGAAGGGGCGTGGAGCGAAAGCAAAACTCACCAAGATGTATGTCAGGCTCTACCATATATCTGCCTCTGCAGAGGAGAGAAACCCTGGGTCTGCATCCCTTTTCAGTCCTTTGCAGGCTGCGTGATCTTGGAATAATTATTTGGCCTCTCTGAATCTCTGTTATCTCAAAAGTAAAGAGGTAGGGTACACCTCTCAGAGGCTTCCATGAGAGGCTAATGAGATCTGTGAAATGTTTATATTCTGTAACAGGATACAAGCAGTAATAATTGTTTTATTATTATTATTAAATCCTGAATACAGCCCTTTAGAAGGTTGTTCTAAGTAGTTTACATGTATTCACTACTCCTCACAACACCCTTGAAAACTAGGTACTATTGCTATCATCTGCCTTTTACAGTAAACTGAGTCATATAGAGGTTACATGAACTGGCCAAGGTTACAGAACTAGTAGGAGCAAGATATGGACTCTGGCAGTCTGCTTTAAAGCCTATGCTCTTAATCTCTAGCTATGTTACTTCTCTCTGGGAATTATCCCCATCTCTCCCCCTGCTGGTTTTATAGATAAGGAAAATGTGGTTCAGAGAATATGATTTTTCATATTCTCTGTCATATATATTCTCTGTCAGTCATATAGCAAGACTGTAAATGTGATGAGAGCTCAGGCCACAGACAAGTACCTACTGAGTGCCATGCAGTGCTGAGGGGGAGGTACCTACTGTGTGCCATGCAGCACTGAGGGGGAGGTATCTACTGTGTGCCATGCAGCACTGAGGGGAAGAGGAAGCCTGGATCTACAGAATGAGCGAGGAGAGATGGGCTGGGCAAGGGGAGAGGGGCCACGACTCAATTTGGCAACTTTAGTATAACCTTCTTTGTCAGGTAACCCTACTGATGCTTTGGGAAAGGTAACCAGTGACTTCCGAATAACTATGAAGCTCTGAACCTGCTTTCAGGAGGTGAGGGTGGCAGGACATCAGACTCTAGGAAGGAGTGACTGAACTGAACAGATGAGCTGCTCAGCCTGGTCAGCTGGTGTTTGCAGGGTGATCTAGGAAAGAGTTCCTGACTCCAACCATGCTAAGAGCAGTGGACTCAGACTCAAACTTGTGTTTGAGTCTTAACTCTCCCTTTTATTACTAAATGACCCTGGGCCTGTGACTTGACCTCTCTGTGCCTTGGTTTCCTCATCTGTAAAATAGGGATAACAATTGCACCTATTCCAGAGTTGTTGGAGGATACATGCGATCACTCATTTTTATTATTGTGAAATAAGAGATCTCAGGAAAGCATTTACCACGGTGCCTCAAGTAAGCTCTCAATCAACAAAGACTGTGGGTCAGAAGGATAAAGGAAATACATTTCTGTAGTAATGGAGCGGTGGGAGGAAAAGACCAACTGGCTGAAGCCATTAAAACTCACCGTCAGTAAAAGTGATTTGCCTACTCAAATCTTAGAGTTGGGAAACTGCCATTTCCCTAACAAGACGATGCAAATCAGTTTATTTGCCTGTGGGGACTGCATTTCTTTCTTCTTCTCCTTCCCCAAAGACATCTGTTGTAGGAGAAGAAATCTCAAGTATGCTGAGTAACTGCTTTGTGTCAGGTCCTGTATGGAGATCTTTCTTTTATACCCATCTAACACCTTTTCCAGGATGTAAATTCTACTAACTCCATTTTATAGAGGAGGAACCAAGTCTCAAGAGAGGTTGAGAGCTACATCCAACATCCTAAGCTCTGGAGTGATACATCCTGGATTCAGATCCACTTCTGTTGAGCCAACATCAAGACTGGTGGGCTCCTTCCAAGGAGTCAAAGCTCTCCCTGGGCCCAGCCGGTACTCACCAAGGCTTCTGCGATGATACCTCTAGGTGCCAGACAGTCTTGAAAGCACTTCATCTATGGGCACTCAGTCATTTTCCCACAGGCTAGGTGGTTACGTTTTATTAGCCCCACTTCACCCCTGAGAGGAGGCAATTGAGTTAATTATTTGAGCTGAGAGCCCCTTGGTGGTATCAGCTGAGATAACTATCTCAGCTCCTGGCTGCCAGCCCTAACCAGAGCTTTTGTTCGTTATCTTCCCTCAGAGAAACTCAGCACTCAATTGCTCATTAACATGATTTGGATAATTTTCTCAACAGCCCTCCAGTGGAGCAGCTAAAGGAGAAACTGTAAAAGCCTGTGCCATTCAGATTGCCCCCACCCCCAACCTTGCTCTTTCTTTCTTAAGTAGTGGAGAAAGACAGATCTGCATTTGAATTCTGGCTAGGACATTCACTTGCTGGGTGATCCTTATTATTTCCTCTCCCTAGGCTCCCCATTCCTCATTTGTAAAATGAGAATATAAATACCACTTGCTTCATGAGTTGTTTCAAGGACTAAACCAGAAGGAAGTTAGCAAGAGGGAGGGAGGTTGGTTGGTTTATGGAGTGCCTAATGGGGAACAGAAAATGCATGGACAATATTATTTGATCATCACAATGATCCTATGAAATTAAGAAAAGGAAACTGAGTGACAGAGCGATTTACTCAAAATTTTACAGCTAGCAATTATATGTAAGGGCAATGATTCAAACGCAGTCTGGGTGACAAAAAAGCCTAACCTATCACTCTCATTTGCTCTTCTTCAATGTTCCTTATTCAATTTTTTGGTTCTTTATTCTCTTTCATTCTTTCTCATTCACTCTTATTTGCTCCCTTTCTTTCATTCTTAGTCTTTCCTATTTCCCTATATAACCAGCTAGAAAAAAGGAAAGATAAAAGATTGGACAAAGATATAGCAGTCCGGGTAGTAGATGAGAGGTCTGAGCCCTGGTCGTTTGTGTAGACTCTGAGACTGAGAGAGAGACAATTAGAGATTGGGTGGGTTAGGAAAGCAAAGAGAGTCTTTCCTGTATGGATTTACATTCCGAGGGTCAAGGCCAAACATAAGGTGAATATTTAACCCCTGCAACAACTCCTGTAAGTAAAAAAGAAAACTCCCATCTTTTTCTTCTATCTCAACTTCATAGGTGAGGCTCAAATCTCACCTAGAGCCTGAGTTCAAAGCTCTGGCTCTGCCACTTTAGCAGTGAGACTTTGGACAAAGCCCTCCACATCCCCTGAGTCTCAGTTTCCTCCTCTGGGCATGGTAGAAACATCCCTGCCCCCAGGATTTAGGTGAGTACTAAACTAGATCAGGCAGGTGCAATGCTCAGCGCCCTGCTTGGCACCCAACAAGTGCTTGGCAGTATTAGTCTTTTCTGCCCTCATTAACCCAATGACTAACTTATAACCCTGCTTTCCTCAAAACTCTTCTCCAACATAAAGGTCTTTTGTAAATGTGAACTTTTCCCTTTCTGCAGACTTCCCATGGTGATCTGGCCCCTTTAACTACAGAGATGTCAAGGAATCTTTGTGAATCAGCCATCAAGTGTGGGTTGCTTGACGTGACTGTGGGGTTAACTTACAAGTGACTAATTTTTGGAGGCGAGATTTTGTACCCTTCCCACTGGTAGCACCATGGCTGGGTGTAATTACTTAGCTGATGAGTTTACTGAGGGGCTCCTTAAAGTTTCAGTATTAATATCCATATGAATACTTTCAACAAAACCTTTTGTTCTTGGAGTAGGGGATGTGGGAGGTAGTTACAGGAACTGTCTTGCTTTTCCAAATTTAATTGTCTAAATACAGTGCTGCCTCAGCAATCCAGGACATTTTTCTCACTCTTCTTTCTTAACAGACCTCTGCCAAAAGCCTACTTTGGCAACAGGAATGATTAGTTTGTGTTTCAGTAAACTTGCTGCATCAGAGTCACTATCCCAGCAGGGGCAGGGGGAGTTGAAATGTGCTCTATTTAACCAGTTTGAACTGTTATTTATTCGAATTGAGTCTGGGGCAGAGGTTGTGGGAGTTTTTGATAAGAGGAACTTAATGGCTCATAAGCAAGTCATCTCTCTTTTAGCAGATACTTTGGACTACACATGAATGTCCTAATCACAGTCTCCCTAAAGGTAGATCAGCCCCCTTTCCAGAGTCTGCTGAATTACTCACATTGTTCAGAGCGCTCAGCATTCTGCAAAGCTTTGTTAAATTAATCTTCACAACAACACCCAGGCGGAAGAAGTATCATTAGCACTCTCATTTTGCAGGGGGGAAACTAAGTCTCAGAGAAATTAAGGAATTTGCCTAAGTTTGCATCGAAATAAAGTGGGAGCATCAGCATCTTACCCAGGTTTGTCTGATTTCAGAGCCTGCGCTCATACTCCTCTGGTATTTGCAGCAGTTTTGGGGCTTCTGGCACACCACTCTGAGGCTTGCACAGGACCATGGATTTTATAACTGGAGGGGACCTGTAGGTAGGGCGACCAACCGTCCTGTTTGCCTAGGAATGATGGGGTTCCTGTGACGTGAGACTTTCAGTTTTCAGGACCAGTCAAACTAGGATGAGTTGGTCACCCTATGGGATGAAAGGCTGCTGAAACTACCAAAAGAGATAAAAAGTGAAAAAGCTTCTAGACTAATATGAGGTATTCTTATTACCTTTCCCCCTCTAAATTTGCAGATGAGAAAACTGAGGCTCAGAGAGGAAAAGTGACTTACCCAAGGTCACACATTTCATGAGTAGATGGAGCAGTAATTGGAAAACAGATCTTGGGATTCTCAAATCATTTCTCTTTTCCAATAAGGGAGGCTGCAGAGTTCAAGCCAAGGAGCACCTATTGAGCTCCTACTGCATGAGCAGTTAAGCTGTGGGTTAGCAAATACCCAGGAGAAATAGGAGGTGTCCAGGTAATGCTGTCAAGTAGAACTTTCCATGATGATGAAAATGTCCAATATCAATGCTGTCCAACACACTAGTCACTAGCCATATGCAGCTTCTGAGTACTGAAATGTGACTACAGTAACAGATAAACTGAAGTGTTCTATTTAATTTTAATTTAAATCATCATGCATGACAAGTCGCTACCACATTGCAAAGCACTGGTCAAATGGATATGATTAGTATTTCAGAAGCATTTTATTTCAGAGAACAGATTCTGTAGTGTGCACATTCTTGAAGAGGAAATGCTTTTTTTTGGAAGGGAAGATGGGGCAGAAAAGAAGTACCATTCATGGATGGCATACTGACATACTGAATAGCAGCACTGAAGTTAACATTGCTCCCTTACTCTTCCAACAAGCTTGTGCAATGGGCATCATCTTTCCTAGTTTATGAGTGAGGAAAGTGAAACCCACAGGAATTCAGTAAACTGCCCAAGGTCTTATTTGTAGAATGGGAATTTGAACCCGGGCCTGAATCTAAATCAGGTCCTCTATCCCATGCATTACCAACTTGAATGTACATATGAAACATCTGCAGATCTTGTTGAAGTTCTGATTCTAGAGGACTGTGACTGGTGATTCTTCCTTTATAACAAGCTCCCAGGTGATGCGAAGTCTGTGGCTCATGGGCCACACATTAGCCAGAAAAATTCTCTCTCTTTTAATAAACCAAAACTTCCTCCCTTCCTTAACAATCAAGAAACACCAGATACCTACAGAAAGGAGGATAAATTACAAGTTGTAAAGTAATGATTAAAGTTCTGAGAAAGAAAGTGTGCCCTTGTTGACTTGAAAGAGGGCACCTTCCCCATTGGGCAGTGGAGTGGCTCTTCACCAGGCGAGGTTCACCTGCCATCCAGTCACATCTCAGTTTCATCAGATAATGCAAAATCAGCCAGGAAAGGGTTTTTAATCCAAAGGGTGGGGTAGTCTAAAGAACATGTGCTTTGGAATGAGGCTGGTTTGGGGAAGAATCCCAGTTCTTCCCCTCTCCAGTGATATGACTGTGTATGAATCATCCATCCCTCTGAGCCTCCATTTTCACCCCGGGGAAAATGAGGATGAGCATTTGTAATTCATGGAGATGTATTAATAGTAAAGACCAAGAGAAATCCTATGTGTAAAGTGCTTGACAGAGCGCACACTTAATAAATGAGTGTCTCCTCTGCCCCTCTTTTTCCCTGGCCCTCTCGCTCGTTCCCACCCTTCCTGTTTTTCTCACCTCTTTTAGGAAATCTTCTCCAAGGGCAACTCTGAGTGGTGAAGACAGGATGGAGTCAGTTGACTCTAGACCTTGTCCCAGTCTACTACTTTCTACTATGACCTCCAGCAGGGCTGGGAGCTACACAGGCCAGGGACTTTGTTTTCTTCCCCGTCTTTCCTCAGGGCCCATCACAGAAATGCCTTTAGGCCCTCTTCACCACCTCACATCTGCATCTCAACTCCAGGTGGGAAACACAGAAAAGAGAAAGAGAGAGTGTGTGTGTATGCGAGAGCACTAGTCTCATCACTAAATTGTCGGTGCTGAAATCCAAATAACTTTAATTTTAAAAATTAATTATGTGATCTCTTTGACAGGCAGCAGAGTTCATATCAAGGGCCCATGTTTTAACTGAATATAATGAATTTTTTTTTTCACCTTGGAAGAGTCTTAGAGGCAAGATTAGAATGTTCATCTAAAAGGAGTGCAAATTTCTTCAACCATTCCCACGGAGGAAGGTGAGCTCAGACTCACTTTCATCTGTCCCTCTCCCCCATGTGCTTGGCCAGGGTAAGGGACCTCAGGAGGGCCCCCCCAGTCTCCCAGACAGCTGACTCTCCCTGTGTAAATAATTCTAATGCTCTCAGTTATTCACTACTCATCTGAGCCACCTATTGAACTATAAGCTTCAGAATTAGCTTTGTACAACCCACACCCAGCACAGGGTCTGGCATTTATATGTGTTCATAAATGCAACAAATAAACATTTATTAAAATGCATTGATTTGTTCAGTTTTGTTTATACCTCTGTGGTGGATTGCAATATTGATTCCAATTCTACAACCCACCCACTGCCATCTTTTCCACAGCTAAGCCCCCTCCACGCTTCTACCATCCACACACATGCACTTTCTGATGCTGTAGGTTTCGGGTGAGACCAGAAGAACCTCAATTATTAAAAAAAGAGCTTTAAAAATGCCCCATTTTTTTTTTCTCTTTTAGCTTCCCCCCAAATACCCCACCCTCCTTTTTTTTTTCTAAATTTGAGACAAGGTCTCACTCTGTTGCCTAGGCTGGAGTGCAGTGGCACAATTTCAGATCACTGTAACCTCCACCTCCCAGGCTCCAATGATCCTGAGTCAAGCAATCCTCCCACCTCAGCCTCCCAAGTAGCTGGAGCTACAGGTGCACACCACGGCACCCGGCTAATTTTTGTATTTTTTTTTTTTTTTTGTAGAGATGGAGTCTCACTACATTACCCAGGCTGGTCTCGAACTCCTGAACTTGAGCTATCCTCCTGCCTTGGGCTCCCAAGGCGCTAGGATTACAGGTGTGAGCCACTGTGCCCAGTAGTTTTCACCTTTAAATTTTAAAGGTTACTTTTGCAGGCCTCAGGCATGACGGACAATGAGCAGGTGAAAAACCAATAGAAAAGTGTTCAAAAACTCCTGTGTTAACTAACAGGCTTCTGAATGTATCACTGTGGTCCACAGAGAAGGCTAGAGAAAGTAGCAAGAAGATGCTATGTCAACTACTACAGCCTTAAAACAAAGGTGGTGTCTATGTAGCTGAAATTTTTCCTATGTAGCTTGTGTTATTTTTGTTTAATCAAGCAAATAAGAGGGTTTTTCCATGGCAAACAAACAAACTCCAATGCATACCTTCTTTTCTTCTTTTTAACAATGAATAAAAAAAGGAAAGAAGGTACAGTTCTAAATTGACCCAATTTATTTTTCTTTTCTAAATGAGATTAAGATAAAAGTTGGAGAGAGGCCACTCAGATATGCTCAGAAATGATAGCTCAGCTTCTAACGGTTACTCAGCTTACATCTGATTAAGGTTTTCTGTAAAACGAAATTGTTCCTCATACCAGGCCGACTGGACCTGGACAGCTCTAGTCTGGGTCCTGGCCTCACAGTGCTGGGTCTCTCCGGGGCCCAGGCTAGGGACTGGAGATCCTGAGCTCCTGTCATTTCCCTCCCCTCCTTCCTTCCTTCCTTCCTTCTCCCCTGGCAAAGACTGTATCCTGTTGCTCTGAGCAAGGCCCAAGAGAAAGGCCAGCAACAGGTTATTGTGCTGGGAAGGAAGACAAATGAGTCCCTTTTCTGTGGGGCTCCTGGCATCCTGTTGGAGGAAGGAAAGGACAATGCTTTGAGGGAACTGGCTTTGCCGACCCCCTCCTGGCAGGCTCTCCCCTCTCCTTTCCGGTGTACCGTTTGTCAGCCCCAAAGCCTCCACTTCCTGAGTAATCACTAGATGCACGTGTGAGGTATGTGGTTCCCCCCCATGCCCAAGGCAGATTCCTGGCCCCACTTCAGGAAGTGCAGCTCAAAGAGCCCTGGACCAGGACCCTGAAACAAGGGAGAGTCTTGGCTCCTCTCTCTCTACCAGGGTAGCTATTGCCAGATCATTTCACATCTTAGGGCCTCTGTTATGGCAATTGTGTAAGTGCCTTCTGCACACTTGAAACTGCCCCCTGCATCAGGGATTCCCACACCTGCCTGTGCATCTGAGTCACCTGGGGAGCTCTGTTGCCCTACACTCTTCATATGCCCTGCCTGGACTCCAGGCAAAACAAGCAGACACTCCATCCCCAGAAATGTTCTGTGGTAATTCCAGTTCCCCTGAAATTAAAAACAAAAAACAAACAAACAAAAAAACTACCCTTCGTATCCTCTTACCTAGCTCTTTCCTATCCCCCTTCAATAAAGTGGTGGATTGATAGGTACACAGATACAAGAAGCAGTAAGGAGTAGTGGCTAGGAGAGTGAATTTCAGAGACAGACTTCCAGCAATCAAAGCCCAGATCCACCACTAGATATGTAAGCTTGGGTAGAACTTCGAACCGTTAGGTGCTTGCTTTTACTTATCTGTAAAATGGTAATAATAATAATATTACTTTCTAGGACTGTTGTAGGTTTAGGCTAATATGTTCAAAGCCTTTAATATAGAATTTAGCTGATCGAGGATACTATATAATGGTTAACTATTATTATTATTATCCCAGAGGTTCATTGAACATACAATGAATTTTTTTTTTCTGGACCTAATATCAAGCCAAGCACTGGCGACTTAGGAATGAATATGACACATTTCCTGCCCTCAAGAAGTTTTCAAGTCAGTAGGGAAGTCAGACTTATGAAGAACCAATTCTAACAAAATATTGTTACAGGATGGATCTCCCTAGGAAGCAGGCTCAGAAGGTGTTTAGCACTCAGGATGTTCTCAGGGAATGCCTTGAGATGAACACTTGTGGAAGAGGGAAAGGCCACAATCAGGACTGGCAGAGCGAGAAGGCAAAGCATGATGCAGGCTCTAAAACTATCTTGGCCAACCCCACCAACAGCTCTGGAACTAAAATGACCCTTCAGAGTTGTCAAAAGTGAAGCCAAGAAAGCCAGAGCTCTTTATACTCCTGTATCAATCAGTCACTGGATGTAGGTTGCTACAGGAAGGAGTGTGACTTGGGATCAGCCATCTCTTCCCTAAAGGTTGACAGTACCTCAGGAACTAGAGTAACAAGTTCTTGATTGAAAAGGGATCTGGAGCCAGATGCAGTGGCTCACGTTTGTAATCTTAGCACTTTGGGAGGCTGAGTTGAGCGGATTGCCTAAGCCCAGGAGTTCGAGACCAGCCTTGCCAACACGGTGAAACCCTGTCCTATCAAAAATTACAAAAATTATCTGGGCATGGTGGCACTTGCCTGTAATTCCAGCTACCTGGGAGGCTGAGGCAGGAGAATCACTTGAAACCAGGAGGTAGAAGTTGCAGTGAGCCAAGATCGCACCGCTGCACTCTAGCCTGGGTGACAGAGTGAGACCCTGTCTCAAAAAAAAAAAAAAAAAAAAGAAAGAGAGAGAGAGGAAGGAAGGAAGGAAAGAAGGAAGGAAGGAGATATGGGAGATGCATCCCAGTGTCCACCTCAAATCTATAAGGTCAATTTTGATGAAACAACAAAAAGTACAGAGAAGAAGATGAGTAGCTAATAATATATATTTAAAACCCTGATATTTCTATGGCATTTTATATTTTTCAAAGCATTCTCTTAGACAAAAGCTTACTCATGACTTCCAGTCTAGGGTCTTGAGGTAGGTTGGGAAGCCATATGTTGTAAAGGAGAAAGCTTTGGATTTGGAGCAGAGAGGACACCGTGAATTGCAGCTCTGCCGCTGTCTAGCAAGGAGTCTTATGCATGCCTCTCATGTTTTCTAGGTCTACTCTGTGAAAAGGAAATGATCATACATAATTCATGCATTTGCTGTACGGATTTAATTAAATGATAGACAAAAAGTAGAGTGGCACAAGTCAAACTCAAAAAATAGTAACAACAAAATCAATTTCAAAATAAGCAACAGCAATAAATGTTACCTACTATTTTACGAATGAAAATACTGAGACCAATAAAGGTAAGATACTTTCTTAAGAACTCACAGTCAAATGTAGGTACATCCAAGACTGTAACTCACATACTGAGATCAGTTTCATGTGACCTCATAGCTTGTCATCTTACCTATAGAACCCACAGAAGTTGATGAACCTCTGAGGGATTGATTCAGGTGTTTTGTATGTGATTAACATTGGAAGGAATCTTAGAGATCATCTTGTCGCCTTCAGAAATCCGGAGCTTCATGCGGCCCAGTCTTTGCATTGACTAGAATATAAAGAAGCATAACCCAGTAGTAATTAGAAACAAATTCTCATTTTCTCTTATGTCCTTTGAAAACTTTAAGAAAGATCAATTCCCAAAAAACATGTCTCAAGAAATCTTTCCTTCCTTACTAATTTATTGAATTTGACTGTTGTTGCAGGACCACATCCTCAGCAAACACACTGGCACTCTTTCTCAAACTTCAGCCTTCAAGGTGCTATTTTCTTTCCTATATCTCCTCTCAATTCTTTATAATGTAGATGAACTGAGTTTCTGTCTTCTGCCTTGTATGGACTACCTCTCCTGCTTTTCTCTACGCATATTTCACATAAAGCACCACAAAAATCAAGGACTCATATTAGCAAAGATAGAAATCTCCATAGATGGACTGGGTTCATGAGAGAGGAGGAAGGAGAATGGGGCAGAAATGGTACTCAAAATTATTAACAATGGATATAGTAAAGTGTATTAGTCCATTTTCACACTGCTGATAAAGACACACCTGAGACTGGGAAGAAAAAGAGGTTTAATTGGACTTACAGTTGCACATGGCTGGGAAGGCCTCGGAGTCATGGCGAGAGGCAAAAGGCACTTCTTACATGGTGGCAGCAAGAGAAAATGAGGAAGAAGCAAAAGCTGAAACCCGATCATATCTCGTGAGACTTATTCACTATCACGAGAATAGCATGAGAAAGACCAGCCCCCGATGGTTCAATTACCTCCACCTGCATCCCTCCCACAACACATAGGAATTCTGGGATATACAATTCAAGTTGAGATTTCGGTGGGGACACAGCCAAACCATATCATAATGATACCTATGAATCAGAATAGATTAGCCAAGGAATTGGATTAGGGTCCTCAAGGCCCTCTAATGTCCAATGACTTAACCACTGGGCTGCTGACTCACAGGGGGGTATGGAAAATCCTGGAGTAGAGTCTGGAATGGCTGAGGTAACAGAGAATATTCAAGGGACTCAGGGCAACAGAAATCTATCAATTGGTATAAAAATATTTCAATTTTTACTATTTTAACAACTGGTGCAGCCTTACAGGTACATTGCAAACTCTCTCCAAAGCCTGAGCTCTTACCACCACCCCACATTCCCCAAAATGCATGCAAAGAGTCTGACTAGGGAAAACCGTAGTACGTTTCCTCTCTTCTCTCTCTCGTAGGCATTATAGTATACATAGCCTTGGAATCAGAAGACCAAGAACATACAAGAGAACATAGCCTTGGAATCAGAAGACCAAGAAACAATTTAACTCTGCCCCTCTAGAGCTCTGAGAACTTGGGCAAGCCTTTTACCCTCTGTGAGTTTCAGTTTCCTCATTTATTTAATTGAAATAATAATACAGATCACCTGAAATGTAATGAAAATTAAACATCCTTATGTAGGTGAAACCAACTGGCAGCATGCCTGGAATATAGTGAGTGCTCATTCGGTCTCTTGTATTTTCTTTCTATACCCTACTTCTGTTCCCTTGGATTCATATACCTGAATTGGAAACACCCAAAGTCAAAAAGAATAAGAAAAATCTTTAGAAATGTAGCATATTACCAAGATCTGCAAATTTCTGCCCAGAGCAGATGGTTCTAATAAAGAAAGTCGGATCTTATGTTGAGTTCTTTTCTGTCCAAGAATAGAAGACCTTCCCTCTTCTCCAGTAGTGAAGAATAGGATTCATCAGCCTTGGGGGCAAAGTTAAAAACTTGCTCTAGAAAGTGGCCTGGATAGTCAGAAACTGCTTAGACTCACTCCATCTGTTCTATACACATACACACACCTTTGTTTGTCAGTAAAATATTCAATGAGACTTGATAGTCCAATCCTTTGAAACCAGAATAATATTTGAAATTTTGATGATTTTATCTAACTGCTAATATCACTTGCAGGTCATCAGTGTTTTACATCCAACAAACTAATGGTCATTTGCTGCTTTATAAAGAGCCGATATAATTTTGTCTTCCTTGTTATTAAAGGATCAAGCAAGGGTGTTTCTGTACCAGTTCAACTTTCCTTATTTGCTTATTAGTCAGTAATATTCAAGAAAATCCTAGTTTTAAAAAATGTCATTACATGTTAAACTGTGGAAAGAGTCACCATCATTTGAATAAATCTTGAGTAAGCCCACTGTATTAGTCCATTTTCATGCTGCTGATAAAGACATACCTGAGACTGGGAAGAAAAATAGGTTTAATTGGACTTACAGTTCCACATAGCTGGGGAGGCCTCAGAATCACGGCAGAAGGTGAAAGGCACTTTTTACATGGCAGTGGCAAGAGAAAATGAGGAAATGCAAAAGCAGAAACCCCTGATAAAACCGTCAGATCTCATGAGACTTATTCACTACCATGAGAACAGTGTGGGGGAAACCACCCCCATGATTCAAATGATCTCCCACCAGCTCCCTCCCACAACATTTTGGAATTATGGGAGTACAATTCAAGATGAGATTTGGTTGTGGACACAGAGCCAAACCATATCAGCCACTCTACTATCATGTTCTTAAAAAGTTATATGTTTGTGACACCCACGTATGCAGAATTACTCTATCAGTTAAGTGTATTTTGTAGAAAAGTCAGTAAGAAACCTGCTTTACTAAGAACAGAAAGAGTCATCTGTAAATAATAATATGATCATTGTCATTTACTGAATACTTATTATGTGCCAAGCTACTGCTATTGTGCAATTGAGTTATTCTTGTCTGCTTCCCAGAAAAGACAAAACACTGAAAACAGCAGATGTTGCAGCAGAGAAAGAGTTTAATAATCACAGGGCAACTGAATGAGGAGGACAGAAGATATTTCTCAAATTTGCCTCCTTGAGAAATCAGAAGCTAGGGTTTTTCAAGGATGGTTTGGTGGGCAGCAGGGCTAGAGAATAGAAAGTGTAATTGGTTGGATCGGGGATAAAATCATAGGGTGTCAAAACTGTCTTCTTGGCTGGGTGCTGTGGCTCATGCCTGTAATCCCAGCAGTTTGAGAAGCTGAGGAGGGTGGGTCACCTGAGGTCAGGAGTTCGAGACCAGCCTGGCCAACATAGTGAAACCCCCGTCTCTACTAAAAACACAAAAGTTAGCACGGTATTAGTGGCACCCACCTGTAATCCCAGCTACTAGGGAGGCTGAGGCATAAGAATCGCTTGAACCCAGAAGGCAGAGGTTGCAGTGAGCCGAGATCATGCCACTGCACTCCACCCTGGGTGATAGAGTGAGACTCTCTCAAAAACACCAAAAAACTGTCTTCTTGCACTGAGTCAGTTCTTAGATGGGAGTTACAGGACCAGTTGAGTCAGTTTCTTGGCATGGGTTACCAGTCCAGGTGGTGCCAGTTGGTCCATCAGAAAGGAAGGTCTAAAAAATATCTCAAACACCCGTCTTAGATTTTACAATAGTGACATTATCTAAAGGGGCAATTGGGGATGTTATAA
This sequence comes from Homo sapiens, assembly GCF_000001405.40. NCBI lineage: Eukaryota > Metazoa > Chordata > Mammalia > Primates > Hominidae > Homo > Homo sapiens. The sequence continues at coordinate 59,090,273 of NC_000001.11, forward strand.
ATCTTATGACCACTGGCTATGTGACTCTTGAGTAATAAGCAGTTCCAAAAGGCAGATTATAAAACATAGCCTGGTTACAGTTTAACAATACCTGCAACTTAGCAGAAGAAACAATGACCAATTAGAGTTTATGCCTACATCTCAGCATAATTGAGGCCCCCACCATAATTCTACCTTGTGGCCTTTCATTAGTTTTACAAAAACAGCTTCAGTCACTGAACAAGAAAGGGGTTAGTTTTTGGAGGAGGCTATTATCATCCTTAGTTTAAAATTAAAATGTAAACTAAATTCTTCTCATAGTTAGCTTGGCATACAAGTAGGAATGAGAAAAGGTAGCTTGTGAGGTTAGAAGCAAGACTGAGTCAGCTATGTCAGAATTCTCTCACTTATAATTCTGCAAAGGTGATTTCACTACCCAATATTAGTAGTGAAGGGTGTAGTAATGGAATGAGATAGAGAAATTTACTTAATGGAACACCTTTCAGGTGGGCTCTGTGAGTTTAAAAGGAACTTTAATAGGTGGCTTAGGGTGGAAGCAGAGCTGAGATCCCTAAAGAGTTAAACAGCTTCTAAGGAGGCTCTGCTAGTCATGGAAGCACTTTGTGTTTGTTGAGTAGGATGTGTGAGTTTAGATGTAAAATTCAATCAAGACTAAGAAGCGGTGAGAGACTGAAAGGATCCTGGAAGAATTTGAAAGTTGGAGAATGGAGCTTTGCATGGTAGACAGATGAGCTAGTTTAGGGGCAGCACAGAAAATAGATTTAGTAAGTATATGAAGAAAGATAACAGAGGATTCCAAGTTCTTGATCTGGAATGTGTGATGTAAATTACCTCTTCTGTCTCCCTGATAAGATCTCCAGCAAAATCCATTTTTGGTAGAAACGAATTTCTTCTGGAGAGTGGAAATTAGCGCTGAGACCTGCATAAAGTTGAGGCAAGGGTGGGGCTGCAGGTGTGCACTGCCTACATTTGGGAAATAATAATTAAAATGATAACAGTAGCAGCTTCATTGCTGAGCCCTCATTAAAGTTAGGATTATTGTAGATCTTATCACAGTTAATCCTCATTGCCACCTCTTAGTTCAGTGGATTATCCCTCATAATATAAATGAGGAAACTACAGCTCAGAATGTTTAGGCAACTTGCTTAAGGACATTCAGTGGTATGTGGAAAAGCTAGAATGAGGACAGAGTCTGTCTAACTTTAAAGTTGTCTGCTCCTATTCACTGCTGTGCTTCCTCGTTAAAGGTGGAGGTGAGGGGCAGGCATATAGATTAAGCAGTAGCTTTTCCAAGATGTACCTGCTATGTGGGACAGTCAGAGTGTTTGACTACTTCCATTCCTGGATCCCTGGTCTCTGGTGTCCCAGGAGAGCCTATTGATTTCCAGGTACCTTCCTTATAGGTTCTTGGGAAGATTATATAAGTTAATGCATGTAAAATATGCTTAAAACAATGCATGGCATTGGACATTCCCAATAAATGTTGTTCATTATTACGAAGAACTTTACAGACATATTCTCATTTAATTCTCACAAATGTATGAGGTAGAAACTATTATCGCCATCTTACAGAAAATAAAACTGAGAGGCTAAGTAATTTGCCAAGGTTCACACAGAAAGAAGGCTATAGAGCATGAATTTAGCCCCAGATTGAAGGATTCCAGACTTGTCACTATATCCACTGTTCTCAGCTCCTTCTCTCTGACTCTAGCTCCCAATGTTTCTGAAGTCCACTTGTGATTCAAGCATTCATGCCAAATGAATGTACAAATTGTGAACTTCTAGATCCTGCTTCACTCCATATTCCAAGGAGCCGGAGGCTGAAGCCAGCAAGTCAGGCTCCTCTAACATCCCACCTTCTGGCATGAATGTGAGCATGCAATGTTTAGTCTATTGTTGGTTTCCAGCAAGTCTGAATTTCAAGTCCTTTTGCTGGAGGATTACAACTTAGGAATCCAGAACGAATGGCTTTTCCAAAGCACTCCTGGTCACATCTTCTGCACTTATTCATGCTAAGATATTTTATCATGTTACTTATCTCACGTGATGCAAGTAAAAATCTCTGTTATCATGACATCTGAGTTTAAGTAACAGGCGACTCAGAGGTGTGGTGTGCATAGGCATGTGAATCACATTCTCACCTCCCAAAAATTTGTTTTGAAGTTCAGAACTGTTTGCAATGACCACACTGAATATTCAAAACTATACACTATAGTTACAGTTATTCTAAACTTTGAAAAGGACACTTGGAGGTATGTGATAATGGATTCTGGAGTCTAGTCATTGACTTTAGGGAGATGAATCCCACTTCCTTCACTTACTAGATGTGTCACCTGAGACAATTAACCTTATCTCTTGAGGCCTCCATATCTTCATTTTCAAGAGAAAATAATAATAGTAGTAATATTCTTCTTAAGGCTATTGTGAGGCTTAATGAGCAAGTGCATGTAAATGCTTAGACACATGATAATAGCTTGATACTGATTGTCTGTTATTAGGAGCCAATAACCCATGATTCCTCTGGGAACTTAGTAATTTGGGTAAAAACAACTAGCACAATGTTTGGCACAGAATAACTACTCAATAAATGTTTGTTATCAACAGTGCTGCTGTTGTGGTTGATCTTATCATTAAACCTGAAGTCTTTTATCTTTGATTGATTGATTGATTCATTTGTTCCTAAACCTGAAGTGCCTTCTCTGTGTTAGACATTTCTCTTGACATTGGAATGGGTCAGTCATCATTCCCAGTATCAAGAAGTTCACAAAATCATGAAGGAGAAAGATCAATGAAGAGAGAAAGGTCTTAGATGCCTCAATTAGAATGAAAGGGTATACTGGGGTCAGTCAGGGAGGGAGATTGGTAGACATAGTAATTTCTGTATCAGGAAGAGAGACCAGGAAAAACTCCACTAAAGAAGGCACTGAGCTAAGGTTGAAGGAAGTGTGGATGGTCACTGGAGACAGGGTAAGGGGGAGGGCCACTTCTGGTGGGCAGCCTTGAAATGTAAAGCAGCATGTGTTGAAGTTGGCAAACAACAGAAGGTCCACACTGACTTGTACATAGGTACGAAAACATAGTAAAAGACTCAAATGAGAATATATCTGGATGAAGCATAAAAGATCCAAAGGTGAAGGCCCTCTGTGCACAACAAGGACTGGAGTTCCATCCCCAGTGGAGAGACATTGCCTAAATTTAAGCTGGGACATGAAGTGATGGTCTCTGTGATGGTCTCCATATTCTAGAGAATGGGTGGAGGATGGGTTGGAGGGGTCCAGATGGGGAGAACAATCCTGAGAGATGAAGAGGACCAGTGCTAGGGCAAATAGAGCAAGGAGAAAGAGGGGAGAATAGACTTCCCAGGCTTTGCTAACTGCTGGAATGCAGGATATGAGGCTCAGGCAACTAAATGGATATTCACACCATCTACAGGGAACACAGGAAGGCAAAAAGCAGGTCTCATTTAACAGTGATGAGTTCAAGTTGGAAAATATTAGGACAGTAATGCCCAGGAGACAACCACCAGGCACTGATGTACAGTAGCATCCTGGGAGCATCCAAGTCATAAACAGGTTATCATCAGCATGTAGGTAGTTCGAAGCTGAAGGTAGCTGAGGTTATTTAAGAGGAGACTGCTGAGTTTATGAAGAAGAGACATGAAGATAAAACCTTAGTGAACTCTGATATTTGCTAAGCTGGCTGGAAAGCAATGCCCACAAAGGAGACTGATGAAGAAGGATTGAGAGGGGTTGGAGAGAAAAGATGGCATGATGGCATGGAGCCCAACTAAGGCCATGGTCTTGGGCATCAGATAAGAGTAGACTTGAGTCTAGTTTCTGCCACTATGAACTCTGTGAGCTTGTGCAACTTAGTTCACATTTGAGCCTCTATTTCCTCTTTGGTAAAAGGAAACAACAATGGCATCTAGCTTATAAGATCGTTGCGAGGATCAAGTGAGATGTTGCAAGTAAGATTAAAAAAAAAGCGTCCTGCAATTACTAACAGTGTGGTAAATGTTAATGAATCAGGAGAATGTGTCACAGAAACACAGAAGGGAAAGAGTTTTGAAAAACTGACCGTCAATACTAGAGATGTCAGAGAGAAAAATCAAGTGAGAAGAGGCCTTAAAAGTAACCAGTGGTGACAGGTTCTGCTATACCCTACACCTCAGCATCAGGCAATATATCTTTGTAACAAATCTGCACATATACCCCCAATTCTAAAGTAACAGTTGAAAAAGAAAAAAACAGGCTGGGCATGGTGGCTCACGCCTGTAATCCCAGCACTTTGGGAGGCCGAGGCAGGCGGATCATGAGGTCAGGAGATCGAGACTATCCTGGCTAACACGGTGAAACCCCGTCTCTACTAAAAATACAAAAAATTAGCCGGGCATGGTGGCAGGTGCCTGTAGTCCCAGCTACTCAGGAGGCTGAGGCAGGAGAATGGTGTGAACCTGGGAGGCAGAGCTTGCAGTGAGCTAAGATCATGCCACTGCGCTCCAGCCTGGGCAACATAGTAAGACTCCATCTAAAACAAAAAAAGAAAAAGAAAATGAACAAAACAAAACAGAGGCCATGAGGTTCACTCTGCCACTGTGGGAGGAGCTGCAGTCACATGGTCCAGAGAAAGGTGAAGAACTGGTGCCACTTCTTTAAGCTGCCATCTCACATCCACAAATGGCTGCTACAGTCAGTTCGTAGTGCAAGATGGTGGAACACACTCAGTACACTTTAAAAATAACAATATTCCTCCCCTGACTCTAAAAGTAATACATGCTCATCATGAAAAAGTATGAAGGGGAAAATGAAAGTCACCATAATTCCATCTCCTCACATGATCCCTGTTCGGATTTTGCTGCATATCCTTGCAATGTGCACATCGGTTTACATGCTCAAATAAACAAAAGCATAGATTTATATATAACGAAAGTGAGAGCATACTTTATTTGGTTTTGTATACTACCTTTTTCACTTAATCTAATTTTATGAGCTTTTTCTTGCAGGAGTAAATATACTTATCAAATAAAAAATTAAATAAATAAAATGTAAAGTTTAAAAAAAGTGACCAGTGGATTGGGCAGTTGGAAGGCCAGTTAATGATTTTAGAGAGGACAACTTCAATGGCACCGCACCCATAGAAGCCTGATACAGTGGTTTCTAGGAGTAGGGAAAGGAGCTTCAGTGAGACCTAGTTCCTCATTGTAGCTTTATTATTAGACACAGGTAGAGTATATGTCCTACCCTGATTGGAATCACTCCATCCCTGGATGATTGCAAATAATCCCACCAACCTCCAGCCCAAGTGCCTGCCCTCCCCTCCCATAGCTCCTCCCCATGTCCTAACCCCATCATGTTCCTGGCTACTTGTCCAATGCCACCCTCCCTGCTAGAATGTAAGCACCACAAGAGCAGCAGCTGGGCAGGCCTTGTCCAATCTGTGATGGTTAATTTTATGGATCAACTTGATGGGGCCGTGGTGTGCCCAGACTACACATTATTTCTGGATATGTCTGCAGGAGTACTTCCAATGAGACTAGGATTTGAATCAGTGGACTTAGTAAAGCAAACAGCCCTCCCCAGCCTAGATGGGCATCATCTAATCCACTGTGGGCCTGAATAGAACACAAGGCAGAGGAAGGAAGAATTCACCCCTTTTTTTTCCTCCCTCACTGCTTGAGCTGGAAGCTGATCTCATCTTCTCCTGCCCTCAGACTGGGAATGACACCATTGGCTCTCCTGGATCTCTGGCCCCCAGACTTTTAGACTGAATTACACCCCCAGCTGTCCTGGCTTTCCACCTTGCAGACAGCAGATTATGGGACTTCTCCATCTCTGTAAGCACTTGAGCCAATTCCTAATAATAAATCTCCTTTCATATTGGTTCTGTTTCTCTGCAGAATCCTGAATAATACAATATCTGGGTGCAGAAGACAATGAGTAAGAGAATTCCAGCTAGAATTTCAGCTAGTGATGAAGGTTGTGAAAGAAACCTAAGGGTGAAATGGGGTAGAGAGGGGTCTGGGGGTGGAGGAAAGCATTAGCTGTTGTGGGCAAGAAAGACCTTGGTGAGGAGGTTGCTTTTAGCTGAGAGAGGCAGCCATGCAAGGCTCCTGAGGGAAAACATTACAGACTCTGAGACCAACAGGCTCAAATGTCCAGAGGTGGGGACCAACAGGACCTATTTATGGAGAAGAAGGAACCAGAGAGTAGAAGGCCAGGAGAGAGGTAGGAGACAAGTCTGAAGGAGAGGGGCCAGGCCTCATTACTTCTGTCATGGGCTCTCAATTTCCTTGCACTGGGAATGTCCCAAAGGCCACTGATACACGGACTGAGCGGACTTCACGGACGTCACATCAAGTGTCACCCCTAGCAGCGGACAGTCTCCTCGGCTCCGTGCTGATAGCTGCAGACTCACACCCCTGACCATCCACTGGATTTTTGGCTTTAAGGACCCAAGGCATGTGACAAGAGATAAGCATTGCACTGAAGGTCTTTGTGTTTCACTCTATAAATGGAAAGAGGAAGAAAGACTTTCCCCCCACTTTTTATTTGTAAAAGTGTCAAAAGCTACAGAAAAATTGCATGGATAGTACAACGAGTACAAGTTCATCAAGCCACCAAGCAGCCCACCAAGGGTTCACACTTGGCAACATTTGCGTGCTCTCTCTCTCCTGTGTGTATGTGTGTGTATTTACTTTCAATTTTTTTGCTGAACCATTTTAATACTAGTTGCAGTCATGATACTTTGATTCAAATACTTCAGCATGGAGCTTCCAAGAACAAGGAAACAAGAATACTCTCCCACATAACCACAGTTTTCACACTCAGGAAACTTAATACAATACTATAATCTAATACACAGTCCAGATGCAAATTTCCCCAATTGTCCTCAAACTGTCCTTTAAAGTTGTTATATTTATCCAGGATTCAATCAAGCATCATGTATTTTAACTATCATTATTTTTAGTCTCCTCAACTAGAATTCCCAGGTTGTTGTGTTTGTTTGCGTTTTGTCTTTCATAACAGTAAAATGTTTGAAGAGTCTAGGCCAACTGACATAAAATATCTCCCTCAGTTTGGATTCATCTGCTTATTTCTTCTTGATTCGATTCGGGTTAACCCATTTGGGCATGAATACTAGATAGGTGATGTTCCTTCTCAGGGCCCGACAGTATGCTCTATCATTGGTGATATAAATTTTGATCACCTGGCTAAGTGATGCTCACCAGATTACTCCACTGGGGATGTAGCTTTATGCCTTTGTAGTTGATAAGTAATCTGTAGAGTACTATACTTGGAGACTGTATGAATATCCTGTTTCCCAGCATCTTTTCATGCAATGGTTTTAGCTCCATTGATGATTTTTGTTTGAATCCAGTATGATAGCCATGCTGATTTTCTATTTTTAGAGTTCCTGCTACATTTCCATATTGATATTCTTTAGTAAGAAAGAGCTTTCCCTGTCACCCACCTCCAGAACATATCCATTCTTGCACTCTTCGTGCTTGGGTTACACTGTTCAAGATTCAAGTTCCATCCAAAATCAAAGTCCAGTTGGTCCAGTTTAGGAAAGGGTGATACAACTTAAATTGACAGTTCCACTAAGTCTGGAGGAAGAGGTCATTCCTCAAAGAAAACATGAGGTGCAATTATTAAAATCAGGAGAAAGGGAAGCCAAGCAGACAAAAGCAGCAGCTGTCCTTAGAGCAAGGAGTTAATATTAGCGGGACTTCTTCCCATCACTGTGTGAACCATCTTAGTTCTCAAATAGCCATAGTTTAAAAAGGACAGGGGTTTAGTGCTCACAGCATCCCAGACTGTTATCTTATGCTTCCTTGCATGTGGCCTTCATTCCCAAAGTTACTTCATGGTCCCCGATAGCTCCTCTAGCTGAAGTTTTCACCCCCGTATTCCAACCAAAGGGAGGCAGCGGAAAAATGGGAGAAAAAGAAGGCCATGTCTTGGTACTTTAAGGATATTTCCTAGAAGTTGGACATGCCATTTCTGCTGACCTCCCGCTGTGCAGAACAGATTCATGTGGCTATCCCCAACTATAATAAAAACTGAGGAAATGTTGTCTTCATTCCAGACAGTTGTTTGCTCAGCTAAGAACTAAGAGTTCTATTTGTTTTTGTTTTGTTTTTTTGTTGTTTTTTTTTTTGAGTTCTATTATTATAGAGGAAGGAGAAAACTAAACTGGGAACAATTAGCAGTCTCTTCCCTGGATCCCACAAGAAACATGCTAGTAAGCTCATTTTAAAGGTGAAAAAAAAAATAAAGCTTAGTGAAATTAAACAACCTGAAAAAAGTCACACAGAGAGTAAATTATTGCGTCTGATTCCAAAGAACTCTGTGCTAGAGTAACTCTAATTTTTTTCACATTCAGTCCACATCCTGAATCTACATATCAGTGTAGTTTTGCTAAATTACCCTCTTTGGGGATTGAGTTGCAGCCTCATGACATAATGACTGGTGATATCAGGTCCTTCTTAGAAACGTGCTGTTCATTTCTGGCTAATGTTCCCTAGACAATCAGCACAGATACTGAAACCCTGATACATCCATGGCAGTGACAAAAGATGCAGATGGAAAGTAGAATGACAGTGGGTGTGTGCTGGAAAGCACCCCAGCCTGGAAGGCTGGATACCAAGGTTCCCGTCCCAGTTCAGTTACTCACTAATTATATGATCCTGGTCAGATCATGACCCACTGTTCCCCAGTTCCCTCCTTCATGTATTCCCTCCAGTTCTGATTCTGTCTCATTTTAGGTAATATCTGCTTGCGTGATGAGTCAAACTGGGATCTGGATCATAAAAGTATTTAAAGCCTTCACTTTCTACGCTATGCGATTATAGAATCTGTTGAAATTCCAGGGCCTGGCTTGCTAATTGGGTTTACATTTTGCTTTTATAAAACCCCACATGATAAATAGGAAAGGTTCATTAACCAGGAGCTTTATAACAGCAGGAATCATGTTTGGTTTTCTCATCATTATATCCCCAACAACTGGCACAGCCC